>NC_000010.11:8040303-8191818 GCF_000001405.40 Homo sapiens
GAGAGAACATCTCAGAAAAATTAACATTATTGGTATCTTTCTATATAAAGATGCAAATGGCATTTTATTTTAACTTGGCCCTGTGCTTTAGTCAGTGTTTATGATTAATTATCTCCTTTTTCATAAAAATAAATCATGTTAAAAATTAGGATCTCCACGCTGGGGAGAAACTAAGCACTAGTTTCAGGTCGATCTTGTTAATTTCAGCCTGAAATTGACACACTAATTAAAGAGCAGCGTGGTAAAGCACGAGCAGGCAAGATTATACTCAGCTTTTTTTTTTTTTTTTTATCAGATCTACCTTATATTTTCCCAATTAAAAACTGCGAAAAGCAGTTTCATTGCCCCAGGATAAAAAATAAGGGCCCCCTTTTCACAACATGGGCCATCACTTTCTACCATCAGATTCATTGTGATGTATTAGATGCAATAAATTATCCCATGTAACAAAACATTGGGAGCTGAAAGGCAGATAATCTGGAAAGCAGAGATAAGGATTCATTATTCCAAATCATTATGAATCCAACGTTGCCTCTGACTTCTTTCTTAATCAGCTCCTCTGATCCTGGATATGTGAGCAGCACAGATAAGGAAAGAGTCGTTTATAATTCTCCACCTCGTCTAATATTTTAAAATAAAGTCAGAGGCAAGAAAACGCCATAAAACACTGGTGAGCAGGCAAGCGCCGAATGAAAAATCACTTCCATGTTATTATATCCACAGTAAGATTTAATTAAAATTCTCCACGTCCACGTGCTTTATTTTCAGATAGGATTTTTTCCCATCACGTAATAATTGATAGGAATTTGCAAACGGGGCTATTTATTTAGGGCGCCTGGGTGGAATAGGTCTGATTTTTTTTTTTAATTTTCAGTCATTGCTTTTGAAACTTTCATTTGCGATATCCATAGTTTCAGACCACCTAGGCCCCCATCACCCACCCGCCCCACCCGGGCTACAGTTCTTGGTCCCGGAAATGTAGTCGTAGTCATGGTCCTGAAAGGGAGTTTAACAAAAATGTTCTTTTATAAGAAGAAACAGAAAACTGGGTTGTTCCCATGTGATACCTCTTTTATGCCCTCTCAATTCCTACCCCCACGCATATTTATAATAAAATAAATCTCAATGAGTGGAGTTGGAAGATTAGAACTTTCAAACCCGGTGGTGTGTGTTGTTGTGTGGAGGAGTGCACTTTAAGGAACTAAACCAATCTGAGTATTTGTAGGAAGGTAGAACAATTGAAAAGGGAGGGTGACGCTGAACACTGATGGGCAGAAAGAAAAATATTATCTGTTTTAGGGAAAAGAAACAAGTTGTTGGAAACCTGGATGAATAAATATGTTGGTTCTGCAGCTCTACACAGAGCTACTCTATGTGGCCACACGTTCTTAGGAAGATTGGAGATTCTGCCACTGATTACCTCTTCCTACAGGATCTCTTTTTCTTTATCCAACAGGTGAACTTCATATCTATGTGGCCATCGTGGAGATCTGGACACACTGTTTCTATTATCTATCAGTCATTTACTGATCCATCTTCTACCTCCACATGTCCGGTGACTTCCCTTTATATTTAAAATCCAATCAAATGCCTTAGCTTCTAGAAACGTGGTCTCATAAAATTCTCAGGATGTACCACAGGATTGAAAGTGGCTGGTGCCGGTGCCAATTAGGATGAGGCGCTTGCCTTCAGGAAGAGTCCCAAAGCCAAGCTCTGACTCCAGGACCAGGGTTCTGGTCCGTCTCTCTAGCTGGTTCAGCTCTGAATCCACACCTGAGAAGCATGAACGCCCGCCCAGGGACAAAGGGCTACAAGGCTGGTGGTAGGTGCTTCAGGGAGGGTAAATGGAGCCAGAGAGGTCGGAAGCAGGGTGCAGCGTCATGGGGTGCGAGGAAGAGGTGACCAGCAGTGGGTGTTCGTGTCTGTGTGTGGCTGTGAGTGGGTCCGTGCCTGGGCTGGGACTCTAGGCATGCACCTCACTCAAAAACTTTTCAATGAAAAGATTCCCTCCCAGAAAGTCCTAAAACCTCGGAGCAAAGCCACCCCTGTCCCCTCAGGCATGTTAGGTTAGGGCGGGTTCTGAGCAACTGGGCTCCGTTGCTCCTTAGTGTGTAAGCTATAGACAGTTGTCCCTGTATACAGAATGTCATTTACTCTCTCTTCTCTTCTCGCCCTCTGTCACCCCCAAGTATATTTACATGCACAGAAACCGGAGCCATGAATCAGTGAGCCAGAGTGGTAGCTTTTAAAATTCAGGAAGCGAATTGGGGCTTCATTAAAGCAGTATCTTTGCCGTGTGCCTGGCCTGATGTCCACTCCTCAGAGATAAATCTTCAGCCCTACTGCCCAGGAAGTCCGACCAAGCTACTGACGGGAGGATTTTTCTCACTTTGCTTCCTTCTCAGAATAAATTATCTCCTTCCTCCCCCACTTCCTCCCCATCCTCAAACCTGCCCCAACTCTCCTGGAATACCTCGGCCTGATCAGCAGGATTTCCACCCCTAAGCCCATCAAGACAGCAAGAAATGTCCAGCTGGCAGCATTTGCCCCTGTCTGATCATTAAATTGGAAAACAGCTGTATTTTTATTAAGCCCTTTGGATTTTCTTTTTAAAACCTGAGTCTCTTTGGCAGTCAAATTTCCTTCCATCAAGGCATCTTCCCTTAAAGGTAGAATTGGGGTGATGGGGAGATGTGTGTAGGCCATCAGATTTCACAACCCCTCATCAAGGAGTCACTTTGGACCCGAGAAAAGCAAGTGCCCGCGTCAGCAGAAAAGGAACGAGGAGCGAGGCCGCCAGATCGACGGGAAACAGGCGGAGAGAGGGTCGTCGGCGCTCAGGGCCGGGGTGGCCCGGGGGACGGAGGAGAGATAGGAGAGCCCGCCCTGGGTCTCAGAGGGTGCTGTTGCGTGCTGCAGGTTCTAAGGGAAAAGGGCTTTCCCCTGGCAGGAGAGCCAAAGGCGGGGAAGGGAGAAGGAGGGGCGGGAGAATGAGGACCAGAAGCCGGAGAAGGGAGGCTGGAGGAAGACGCAAGTGGCCCCTCCGACCTAGTGGACGGCGAGTTGAGGTACAGTTAATGCCCGGGCCAAGGAGACAACTGTCGCCGCCTTGGTGACGGATGCCCCCTCCCTGGGCCCCCGCCCTAGTCCCCATGGGGGGAGCAGCGCGCCAGAAGGGAGTAGGCGTTGTTGGGACCCTCTGGGGGTCTGGAATGCCAGCGACACTTCTCTTCCCAGCCGCAGGGGCCTTCCTGGGACAGGCCAGGTAGACCCCACCCCCCCGACCCCGTTCGTCAGGGCAACAGGTTGGGTGCAAGCTGTCAAGAGATGGCCTTCTCCCTGGGTCCTCAAAACGCGCCAAGAACGTGGCTCTGCCACTTGGTGGCGGAAGGCGGGAGGCACAGGGCAGGAAGGTGGAGGAGGGGCTGCATTCGTGACGACGGGGGAGCAGAGAGGGAAGGACTTAGGGACTCCCCAGAGGGCAGACAGACCTGGCCAGCTTGGCAAATCATAAATCCCTCTCCCTGGACCCTCGGCCTAAACCTACCCCCAGGGTGTGCAGCGGAGGCGCACAGGGGTTGGCTGACGGGCTGGGGTGCGCCTGGGTGGAGGCTGGTTTGGGGTTCTGGCGTCTGGAGGCAGGCCATGGAACCAGAGGAGAGGGCAGGAGGGCCCACCGCGCAGAGCTGCGGCCCGGCTCCTAGAGTGGCGCCCCCAGCCTGGGCATCGCGCTCAACTGCTCTCTGAACCCCATGTCCACGAGGGTTCGCCCTCAAACCACCTCCACCTCTGTCCACACCCCAGTTCTCCCGACTCCAGGGACCAAGTGCCTCGGCCTCCCCGCCACGAAATGGCCACCCCCAAGCCCTTTGCCCCATGAAAATAGCAACTTCTTCCTACCCAACCGGTTGGAGCACAAGAAACTTCTTAACTTCCTGGCCCAGCCACAGACAAATTTTGTTTTATTTCTCCCCAAAGATTTATTTATTTTTAAAGTCAGTCTCCATATTCTTATTGTATAAATATTGTGAAGGGAAAACTCTACCTGTCAAAACAAATGGACTCTGGCCTTTCTACCCCAATGTTTATGGAGTTTCATTTTACTCTTGCCGAAATTTATTCATGACAGATTCTCTCTCCGTGGATTATTTTGATCTCCTCACCAGCAGGGGTAGGGATGGTACGGGAGAGAGGTGGTTTTGCAGGGAGGGCTGGAGTTTACATGGCCCTATGGGTGGCCCAGCGGGATCATTTTCTTTCTGACATTTTATCTCCAGCGCGACCTCTGATTCCTGCTTTCTTATCTCACTCTGCTAGAAGGCAGATTTTCCCTAGAAGTCTTCTTAAAAAGAATTGAGACCCCTAGAGAGTGCCCCCAACCTCTGGTATGTGTGCCCAAGGATACCCCATCTCCAAATATTCTTATGCCTACTCCGAGGAGGGTCAGAGGGTAGCAGCCCGTCACCCAGCATCCTGCACCTCCTAACTTTTACGGGGCAACTACGGCTCAGGAGAGATGAAAGTAGAATGGGGGCGTTTTGGAGGCATCAGCATAGACAGAAACAGGAGAAATAGTCGGAAGGGAGAGGGAGAGCCCTGGAGGGCAGAGACCCTAACTCCTTCGACCTGCTAATGGATGCCACTGGCCGGACCAAGACAGGCTCCCCCTGGGTCCCCAATGCTCCCAAAAGTGGAAGGAAAATGCCATGCATGGGTTTATGCCTATGGTAATGACCTAGTCAACACTTCTGATGACATGTATAGTGTTAATCCCAACCCTGCCAGAAGACAGCGGGCTGTGCAGGCGCCAGGGGCCGGTCACATTTCAGGCCGCCTTTCCCCACCCCCGCCAGATCTGTCAGTTTCACACACCCCTGATGTGCGGTTTGCCTGTTTGCAAAAGGGGGTGAAATTCATTCCCTCGCTGTTTCTCCTTCCCTCCCTCCCTTTCCCTCTTCGCAACCCGGAAGAGCTCCGCTCTCTACAGTGAGCAGGAGAAGGCGGAGGGGAGGGGGCTCCCAGGAAGAACGTACATCGCCCAGGTTTTACCTCTCGCTGGAAGCCCGCCTGAGATGCGGTGAGCAGTTCCAGCGGCCAGGACGGCAGCGGCGGCCACAGTGGCGAACTCTGCCTGTCATTTCTGCCTTCAGATCTCCGGGCGAGTCAGGAAAAAAAATAAAAAACAGCTGGCCCTCGGGAGCGAGCTGCCCAGGTCAGTGAATATCACTCTCTTCCCTCTCTAACTCCGCACTCCCTCTGCCCGCTCCACGTGGAGAGAATTAGGAGGAGGCCTCCTCTCCAAAGGGCAGACTCCCTCTGAAAGAAACTAAACTAGAACCCAGTTCTTATTGTTCTTTTTGGTCACTGGAAATCTCTGGGTTTCTGTGGTGACCTTGGGCGGGTACGGTGTGTGAGTGTGTGGATGTCCTCGTTTGCAGGAAAGAGCTGGTAGAAGTAGGGATGTGAAGAAAAACCCAACGGAAGAATGAGAGCCCGTGGGAATGCTTGGAAAGGGCCGGAGACACGTTTCCCACTGCAAGGAGGGCAGAGGATTGGGGAAAACAACCCCTGTGCCCAGGAGCCTTCTTCTAAAGGTGGCTTCAGTGTCAATTTCATGTTTATTTTCCTCTGTTTAAAGGTGTGTGTTGAGGCTCATTGTCTCTGCATATAATTAAAGAAACAGCTCTGCTCTGTAAGATAAAGTTGGAACCCAGATGTGTCTGCATCTGGCATACCCCCGGGAAGCTAGGGGTCCGGAGGCTTCTTTGCTTCCAGGAGCACCCTGAGGTGGGTGAGAAAACCGCAGCCTCCCCAGAGGGTGCCCAGGGGCATCCGAAGCGGAAGGGGCAGAGAGGACAAGATTTGGACTTAACTCCCGGGACAGCAGACCAACAGACCTCCAAAAAGTCACTCAGAGGCAGTTCCCCCCTGAAGACAGATATTGTTAAAATGTCAAGGAAGTGGAGTGAATCTGGGCAGGACAGCTGCTTTACATGCCTTTTCTTTCTCTCGGACACCAACAGGGTGCCTGAGGAAAGTGACACCGGTGATTCTGGCAAGGGCAGGGGGGAAAGTGCGGCATCTCCCTCGGCTTCGTTCCCATATTTCCTGGTCCTTCTCTCCTCCCTATTGTCCATGCTCACCAGGATGCTGGGGTCGCAGATGGGAGATTAAGAACTTTAAAGGGATCCATGTTGAAGTAGCATTTCCAAAGCCTCCTCTGCCTAGCGGCTGCTGCCGAGAAGGTAGTGGTAGTAGCAGTGGGTGGGCTGGGGGTCTAGCCAGGCAGGTTGAGTCCATCCAGGCATCTGTAAATGAGATGCTTGGGGGCCCAAATGGCTGGCAGTGTGTGTGTGTGTGTGTGTGTGTGTGTGTGTGTGTGTGTGTGT
Organism: Homo sapiens; assembly: GCF_000001405.40. Lineage (NCBI taxonomy): Eukaryota > Metazoa > Chordata > Mammalia > Primates > Hominidae > Homo > Homo sapiens. Next base: position 8,046,693 of record NC_000010.11, read on the forward strand.
CAGGGGCTTACCATGACATGTTTGTGCCATTCAGAAGAACGGAATTGTTTTCTACCCATTTGAACCCAGTCGGGGCGTGGTGTCAGTTCAGACCAAGACCCCATTGGGTGTCGGGTCGCATAGGGGGTCTGATTATGGAGTCTTTCGGTGGGATCAAGCAGGAGGCCCTGCTTGCAGCTCCCAGCCAGCTGCCCCGTAAAGCCTTAAGTCCCTGGCCCAAGAAGCCGCAGGGCTTAGAAAATGCGGAGCGGCTGCAATCCACGGGCCCATCCTCCACTCTGCACAAGAGATCTCTGCCAGCCCCAGCACTGGGGCTATTCTGTCCCCACCAAAAGCAAGGAGATCTGGCAAGCTGCATTTTTCTTTATTTGACATTTACACCCTGCCTTCTTGCAGAAGATAAACGAGGTGGGGACAGTCAGGGGCGCAGAGAAGGGATGGGAGTGGGAAGCCCTGAGCATTGTTTGGTAGGGGTTTTCTTTTGGGTTGTCCAGTTGCCCTGGGTCACACAGAGTGCCTGGGGAACCGGCAGGTAGGTGGGAGCCAGGTGGCTGAAAACCCCTCTTCTGGAGGTTAAAGCAGTTTGCGTCCTGGAACCATAGGAGGTGGCAGGGAATTAGGGATCCTGATAAGGAGTGTGGGGCAGATCCCAAAACCACCTCTGTCCTCTAGCATTCGGTTATTTTTAACTATTTCTAGGCTGCACTGAAGTGATGTCTCATTCTTGGTGCCTAAGCCATTTTACACATAAATGTGCATTCTTCTCCTGGTATATCTTTGTGTGCAGACCAAATCTTTCCCATCACCTCTTTTTTACTTAACGGTTGGAATAACCAGAGAGAGGCTTTGTAGCCTCCAAGGGAGCAAACTGAGGAATCCCCCTTTTGCTTTGGCTGCTGGGCTGACCCGAGCTGGGGTGCAGAGGTGGGTGCGGCAGCGGGCAAGAAGCTGCTGCCCGAGGCGTCCCGGCTGAGGTCCACCGGGTATCCGTCGCTGCCGGTCTGCTGGCGTTAGTGAAGAACAGGCACATGCGTCTGGTTGCTGTTTTGTTTTATATAACAAATTGCTTAGGGTCCGCGAGGTGGAAGGCAGCCTAGAGCTGAGCTGCCCGGAGGGAGGGGCTGCGGGTAGGGGGCAGTCCGGGACCAAGGGAGGCCGGGAGAAGGGTGCGCATGCCAAACCTCCTCCTTTGCACCTCTGAGTCGGGCACAAACATGGATTTTTTTTTTCACCAGGTGGTCTCTAGCATGTCCAAAGGAAGACAAGAACGGTTTGTGCTTTTAAAAGCGCGCCTCTACTGTCTCCAAGATCTGAATGGAGTCCCCCTCCCCCTCTTTTCCTATCCGTGCTGTGAACACATCCCCTGCCAGAGTGTCCCGCTACAATCACACTCCAGCTCCTAGGCTAATCTAGATGAGTCAAAACACAATAGTCCCCAGATAAAGCCCTCCTTCTCCTCCTAAAAGGCCAAACTGAAGCAGACGGAGGAGACTCGGCTGAGGCCAGCGCTGGGGGTTGGGGCTGTGGTTGGCCAGGGGGCTCAGGAGCTGGGTGGCTGTGAGGATGTGGGTGACCAGGCCGGGGGAGTGGAGCAGGTGACTCCGACTGGCCAGACTGAACACCGCGTGCACCCCACCTCACCCGGCAATGCTAAGGCCTGGTGGGCCAAGCCTTGAAATGGGTGAATTTCTGCCAGGCTGGAGCCTTTCCTTGGTGCAGGGGCCGGAGTCCTGGGTGCTATAGCGGTGTGGCTGAGCGGCCCCCTGGGACGGAGGAGAGGTCGGGTCTAGAAGTAGCAAGCCCCTGGCTAGGAGTCACTGATGCCACTGGGGGCAGGGTAAGATGTCCAAAGCCCGGGAGACCCAGGGACGCCGGCTGGGCTGCCTCCACCCCTTCTTTTCCTCCCGTGGCACCCACCTGTCCCCCCACCTGCCAAGGCCAGGAGGGAGGGAGAGAGCTGAAAAGGGCACTTTTCCTCCAGGGTGACTCCAATTCCTTTCCACTCACCCTCAAGGCGAGTTCCTTCTCTCCCACCCAACCCGGGGCTCCCCCCAACTGCCACTCGCCTCACGTGTGAGTTGTTAAACCCGAAAGCAGAAATCCCCTGCCCTCTCCCTTCCTGTCTCCCCCTTTCCGCTGCACCCCTACCTACCCAATTTTTATCTCGCTACAATCAGGGGTTTTCTCAACCGGGGAAAAGGTGGTAGTGGCGGTGGGAGGGTCAGGATCCCTCGAAGTGGAGGCCGGGGCCGGGCTGGGGGCGGAGTGCGGGGGCGGGGGGAATCTCCCAGCGCATCTCCTCTTTTTTGACTCTCCCCACGGCTCGCGGCTCTCCTGGCCTGGGCGGGTTTCCTTCCGAGTTTTAAACGGTGATCGATGAATAAGCAAAACAAACAAACAAACAGAAAAAAAAAGAAAAAAGAAAAAGAAAAAAGAACTAAAGGAAGGAAAAGAAAAAAGGGTAAATCAAATCACATACCATCCCCAAAACGATAGCTCATTTCACGGGGAAGGTAGACTCCTGGCCCGGGGCGCGTGGGCGTGGGAGCCGCGAGGAGAGTTGCCCCTTGGACGCACCCGCCTCCATCATCTTCCCATTGCCAGTGAGTTTTAGGGTCCCTCTTTCTCTGCTTTCCCCCAAGTTCCCTGCTCTCTGGGTTTTGTTTGAAGAGAGCCAGCCTTGCTGGGCCGGGATCCTCAACCAGTATTGCCCACTGCCCGACTGCCTTTTCTTCCCGTTTAGGTCTTGCTCCCCGCTCTCCGCATTTCAGCTCGCAAGGGAAAGAAAACGGGGGCCCGAGTGGCAGAGACAGAGATAATATGTATTTAACCTGCGCGGTCCGGGGCGCCCTGCCGCAGCGGGCTCCCCGCGGTGTGGCCCGCGCAGCCGGGGCCAGCGGCGGCGCCTGGAGCCGTGTCCCCGGCATAACCCTCCCGCCCGGCAGCCGGCGAGCTGTTTATACAGCTTTACCTGTGCTATAGTCCTATCCAGTAGAAACCCTTGCGCGGCCAGGGTAACCTAATCCAGGGGCCGAGGCGGAGGAGGGGGCGGTGAGGCTGGCTGGGTTGGAGACGGAGGTGTGCGCGCTCCAATACCCGGGATCTCTCCTTTGCCCCTCCTCCCACCATAGGGAAGGAAATATGGACATGGTTCGGGTGACAGAAATGGGGACCCGGGGCTAAGGAGGAAGGAGGCCAGTTTTCACGGCCCGGTCCTCCGGCTTCTCTCCTTTGAACAGGCGCTGGGGACCTCCGCGGCGGCCACAGCTGGACGCGCGCCGCGAAAGGCGCGGCGGTCCCGCGGGCGCCCGGCGTGGGCTAGAGAGGCCGGCCCTGGCCTGGCTCAGGTCGCCCTCGCCCCGCTTTCATCTTGCCCCAGTCGCCCTTTACAATTCCCACACCGAAGGCAAAGCAAGCAAGGAAAGAAGCCGGCGCCTCCCCAAGCGGACCCTCCCTTCCGCGCAGCCTCGGCCACTCTTCCAGAGCGCCCCGGTGCGTACTGCGGCGGGCGCAGGGAATCGAATTAAACGTCTCTGGGCGGTTATTGTCTTTCTCTAATTGCTCCAACAATGGCCTCTATTAAAATGGAGACACCCAATTAAAGGCCCCGCCGGGCCGCTCTCGGCTGCCGGCAAAGCTCTGGCCCCCGGCCTGCGACGTGCAGACCGCGGGGCCGCGGACCCGGCTGGTGCGGGGTACTGGCGCCGGCCTCGACACCTTTGGCCTCCACTTCCTCCCCAGACTCACAGCGACAGCGGCCGCTTCACACCGTTTTTATTGACCGATCGCAGCCCAGCAAGATTGATCGAGCTGGAATGGGAAGGGACTTCTCCTCCCCCAGGCCCAGCTCGCCAGGGCCTCGGGCCGTGCTGCAGTTTCTGGCCTTTGGTGTCGCTCCCCGCCCCCCAGCCCCGCAGATTCCCGGCTTCTTTTCTGTCTGCGCGGCCGGGACCGCCCAGGCAGGCGCCGGGGCTCCGGGGCTCCGGGGGGAGGGACTCGGCGGCTCGGCTCGGCTCCGCTTCTTTCTTCTGCCTGCAAATATTTGCTGCCTCGCTGGAAATCCGACGATTTCGCGCGCGCTCTGCTTGCAAAGTCTTTAAGTAAACACGCTCAAATGACCGCCCCGGGCGGCCCGAGGCACGCTCTCTCCCCCTCCGCGGGATTAGTAACTTTAGGACTTCGACCCCGGGGCTCCGCTTTGCCTGTTACCCAGGTCGGGCAGCGCGCGGGCGCCCGGGGCCGCTTCTCCCGGCACCTCGGCCCCGCGGAGCTCGCCTGGAAGCGCCGGTTGCCTGGCTCTGGTGGGTGGCCCGGCCGCGAGCATCTCCGCGCCCTGGGTCTGTAGCCCTAGGGCTGAGCCCCAGAAAGCCGCGCCTCCGCTCTGCGCCATGGCCTCTGCTTTCTGTACCCGACTGGGTTTCCCCACTTCCACTGGGACAGGGTCTCTTCGCCCCTGGGAGGGCGGGTGGGAGGGACTTGCACGTGGGCATGTGTTTGGGGGTGTGTGTGGTAGCTTAACCCCTACCGAGTGGAGAAAGTCCGGCTCCATTTCTCACCTTTTTCCCAAGAGGACACACATACCCCGCTCAACTTGACGCCTAAAGCAGCCGCTTCCAGGCCTGGGGTTTCGGATAGGCCAAGCCGGCTGCTGCCGACCCGCACGCCGCCCCGGGCCCCGGCTCCTCTCTAGGCGGTGGCCGCGCCGTCGCCTGCTCGGCTGCGGGATGCTTGCTCCCAAGGTCCCAGGCGTCCAGGTTGATCGCCAGCCCCTTACCCTGGTGAGGGAGGCCTTGCGCCCTGCAGAAGCCCCGGGCCCTGCGGCGGCGGCGGCGGCATCCTCCTGGTCGCCTCCTCGCTTTCCTCCACCCGAGCTCCGCCGGCTGCTCCTTGGGAGGAAGGGGACTCGCTAGACCAGGCCGAGGCCCAGGTACCTGGGAGGGGGTCGCGTCAGGTCTGCGGGAAGGCGCTCAGGCTTCTCCGCAGGAGGCCAGGATCAGCTTTGTGGCGGTGGCACAGGGAGAATCAGGACCACCTTTCCCCCTTACCCCCGGCCAGGATCCCCCTTTCCCTCCCCCGCCCGCCAAGGGAGGAGGAAGCCCGGCCTGCTCTTGCCGGCGAGGCGGGTCAGGCCGGCGCCTGGCCTGGCCCGGACCCCCGCAGCCCGGCTCTCCGCCTCAGGCCACGCGCCGCAGCCTCTCCAGCCTCGCTCCCTTCCCCCTTCCTTCCCCGTGGGTCCCGAGGCCGACCTCGGCCCTCCCTCCTCGGCATCCCCCTCCCATCCTTTTCCCTTCCCCGCTGCCCTGTGCTCCGGGCTCCGGGGCTGGGCCCGTGACGTCAAACCCAGTGTGGCGTCGGCGAGACTGGCCGGCGCGGGCCATCAAAAGAGCAACGTCCTCTCTCCCAATTACCCACTGTCAGTCCGGGAACTGGGGCGGGCCGGCTGGGAATTAAATGCTAAATACCCCCTACCGGCTGGCTCCATTACCCGGGACATCCAGCCCCAGGCCCCCCACCCCTCTCTGCCAGCCTCAAACCACCCAGACCAAGAAGGGCCTTCGAGATCTTTTATTTTTCTAAAGGTGGGGGTTGCCCTTCTCCATCCCCGGCCAGTCCGACTTGGTGCTCGCGATTGAATTTAAACGAATAATCCCTACTTCCCCATCCAAAATTAGCGGATAGGCGCCCTTGCACCGGAAGGCCTCCTCACCAGTCTTTTCTTTTTGTCTTTGAAATAATTCTTAGCCTCAGAAGTCAGCATTTTCAAGACCTGGCATCCGCAGCGTTTCTGACGCGGGGACTTCTCTCTTCGGCTCTGAGGTCTCCGCGCGCAGAACCCATGGCAGCTTTTGGTCTTACGCGTGGCTGTGAGCTGGGCTCACGCTGCGTGGCGCATCCACCCCTCGATTGACGCGCGGAGAAGCATTTTTCATTTTTTCTTTCAGCTTGTATCCTTAAATCTTAATCCCGGGCTTCTTAGCAAAAATGCGTGTGCATTCGTTTCTCCTTGTTTATGGAGAGGTTTCCGGTGAATGTTAGACAGCAACTAAATAATTAAAAGGTTTAGAGAGCGCTGTGAGCAGGAGAAGATGCGGGCAGCCTGGCTGGCCCAGGAGAGACGAGTGGTCAGAGAATGAAAGGAAAATCGATGCCTCTTAACTGGGCCGCCTAATAACGGGAGACCAAGTGGGCTCAGGAGAAACGTGGCGGGGGGGGGGGGAGCTTTCTTTAAAAAATTGGGGTTCTTTCTTTCTGTCCTATATATGGAAATTCAGCCCTGATTTCAAACAAACATCAGATTTAAGAAGGTGAGGACTCCAAAGAAGATCCAAACGCGAGACCAGGAAGATTCACGTTTCCACTACTTCTTCCAATACATTTCACTAATCTTTCTACAGGGATAGTGTTTTAAAACACGACGACCCTCACACACCAAGGTGAAGTTGAATATTGTTGTTGTTCCTTCACCGCATGAAAGGAATCCTTCAGAACTTACTTTCAGGGACGGCTTCTTCTATCTCGAATTTTTGCATTTGTAGGGAATTTTATGGGGTAGAGGAGCGAAGAGGGAACAATGTCTCCAATTCAAATAAAACCCCAAATTAAGCTCTCAGCCCCATCGGTGGGATAGCCTGCGGGGGAACCCACTCCCTCTCCTGGCAGCATTGCCCTGGGGGCGAGCAGAGAGTGGATTTGGAGTCTTCTTTTCCCGCCTGACCCCTGCTCGCCCGAGCAGCATTTTCGGGCCAGCGGCTGCAGCCACCCGGGCGCCGCTAGGGGATGCAGTGGCTCAAAGGACCGAGCGGGCGGTGCAGGTTGGAACCCGCGGGGCGGACCAATCGCGGCTCGGCCACAGCCTCGCCCGCTGATTGGTCCCTCCAGGCCCCGCCCCCGCTCGCCCCGCCCCTCTCGCTGGGGCGCCTCGGAGCCGCGTGCCCTCCGCCCCGGGGTGCCCATTGCGCAGAGCGTGGCCTGGAGACCCGCGAGCCGGGGAAGGTCGCCGTGGAGTCCCGACCAGAGGCCGGGGTTGGGGTCGGTGCAGACCGAGGGCTGGTTTCCTTGACTGTGGGAGAAACGCCGGGAGCCGGAGTAAGTAGGGCTCCGGGCGGGGCGAAAGGAAAAGTTGGGTCCCTAGAGTGAAGACCGAGTTCTTTCTGTCCGTCTACACTGAGCGTACTCGGGGAATGAGTTAGAGCCAGTCTCTTCCTCCCCTCCCCCCTTCTCATCCCTCACTGTTGCCACTCAAGTCAAAAGCACACATTGATTACAAATATTAGGTCTGGAAAGGGCAGCTGCAACAGCTGAAGCGTGTTCACTCTGGGGGCTTGAGAGCGCAGAAGGCTCGGGAAAGAGGTGACAATGACAACAAAATTGACGCGGACGCTCCAGTCAAAGGCATCTCCCCTTTATCCGATGACTCACCCTCTTAGGAAGTCGGCCCGAGAGGCAAATCTCAAAATACCTTGACATGAAACATTTTGTTTTTCTGATCAATTTAACGCGCACGTTTCCCCACATCGATGCGCTCTCCCAAACACCCTGCATTAGATCCTAATAATGATCCATGCGTGCCTATTTTTTAAAAGTCTGAAAAAGAAAATTCTGCCCATCGAAATGAACTTCATGAATGGGGCAGGCTGGCTGCACCGGGACGGAATCGTCCACCCGACCCGAATGAATTGGCAGGAGCCGCGGCCACATTTAAAGGGCCAGAGCGCGCGTTCCCTCCCGTCCGCCCCCAAGCCCCGCGGGCCTCGCCCACCCTGCCCGCCGCCCCTCCGCCGGCGGCCGCCCTCTGCGGCGCCCCTTTCCGGTCAGTGGAGGGGCGGGAGGAGGGGCGGGGGTGCGCGGGGCGGGGGGAGAAGTCCTGGAGCGGGTTTGGGTTGCAGTTTCCTTGTGCCGGGGATCCTGTCCCCTACTCGCCAGCGCCAGGCTCCTCCCCCCCGGCGCGGATGACACTAGAACCTCCTTAAGTTGCGTCGCGCCACAGCTGTCTGCGAACACTGAGCTGCCTGGCGCCGTCTTGATACTTTCAGAAAGAATGCATTCCCTGTAAAAAAAAAAAAAAAATACTGAGAGAGGGAGAGAGAGAGAGAAGAAGAGAGAGAGACGGAGGGAGAGCGAGACAGAGCGAGCAACGCAATCTGACCGAGCAGGTCGTACGCCGCCGCCTCCTCCTCCTCTCTGCTCTTCGCTACCCAGGTTGGTACTGGTGACTTTTTTTTTTTTTAAGTTTGATTTTTTGCCCCCAACCACTTGGGAGGACCTAAATCAATTTTAAAAACTCAACTCTCCTCTTTTGGAGGTTTTCTAGGGGCTGAGAGGACGGTCCCGGGACCGGTGTCCCCGAGGGAGGGACTTGCCCTCCAAGTCGTAACAGTCAGCCCTGGGACTTGCCCTCCAAGTTGCTCAGCCAGCCCCGGCTCCCGCGAGCCGGGCTGCAGGGACGTCCCCGAGAGCCCTGCGGGCTCCGCGGCCGTGTCCCCGCGCTCCCGTGCGGGTCTCGGGTGCGCTGGGCGGGCGGGCGGCGCGAGGGGAGGTTGTGCCACTCCAGCAACTCAGGGGCTCATCCAGGTCTCCCATTCTCTCCCTTGCAGGTGACCCGAGGAGGGACTCCGCCTCCGAGCGGCTGAGGACCCCGGTGCAGAGGAGCCTGGCTCGCAGAATTGCAGAGTCGTCGCCCCTTTTTACAACCTGGTCCCGTTTTATTCTGCCGTACCCAGTTTTTGGATTTTTGTCTTCCCCTTCTTCTCTTTGCTAAACGACCCCTCCAAGATAATTTTTAAAAAACCTTCTCCTTTGCTCACCTTTGCTTCCCAGCCTTCCCATCCCCCCACCGAAAGCAAATCATTCAACGACCCCCGACCCTCCGACGGCAGGAGCCCCCCGACCTCCCAGGCGGACCGCCCTCCCTCCCCGCGCGCGGGTTCCGGGCCCGGCGAGAGGGCGCGAGCACAGCCGAGGCCATGGAGGTGACGGCGGACCAGCCGCGCTGGGTGAGCCACCACCACCCCGCCGTGCTCAACGGGCAGCACCCGGACACGCACCACCCGGGCCTCAGCCACTCCTACATGGACGCGGCGCAGTACCCGCTGCCGGAGGAGGTGGATGTGCTTTTTAACATCGACGGTCAAGGCAACCACGTCCCGCCCTACTACGGAAACTCGGTCAGGGCCACGGTGCAGAGGTACCCTCCGACCCACCACGGTGAGTGCGCCCGGGGTGCCGGGGCTCCCGCCGGCCGCTTCAGCCGTCCCGGCTCGGGGAGGTCGGGAGGGACCTGAGGGCGGGGAGAGGTCAAGCGAAAGCCCCCATCTGCCGTTCCTGGTTCATTTACAAAAAAATTGGGGCCCGGAAATGGGCGAGGAAGGCCTCTGGCTCGTCGCGAGAGTGTGTTTTGAAAGAGTCGCAGCAGGCGCCTCTCCCGGCTGGTGGCCCTGGGGCCTGGCGCTCACCTGGCGGGCGCCAGGCCGCAGCCCTCCGTCTCTGCGCGGCTGCAGGTTTTGGGGTGGGGGGTCTCGGGATGTCCCCAAGCGCGGGGTGCCCTGGCTCTGCCTCCGCGGGTCCGGGCTCTCTGGGCCCGGTAGCCGGCGCCGGACAAGCACGGCTGGAACCCGGCTCTTCCAAAAAACCTGGCGTTCCCTGTTACCCGCTAGCTCTTTCTAGGCGGGTGGGCGGGGTGGAGGGGGCCCTCTGCCAGCGTCCCTCAATTCGCACATTTTCAGAAAGGCCCCAGAGACCTATTTATTCACACCCTTCTCCTTGACCTTTTCCCAGAGCTAGTGCCTTTGGTTTTTAGACAGGTCTCTTACCTCCTGGCTTCAGGAATGGAATTCTGATGCTGAAGGGGTTTGGGGGGGAAGACCCCTGTCTTAAGTTTGAGGGATCTGAGATTTCCCAGATTCCCGGCTGCACAGAATTTTCTTGCGTCTTTGCTTTCAAGTCGCCTCCTTGCCTGCAACTCTTGCCTTACTCTGTCTCTGGGTACTGCCCTCCATTAGCCTCCCACCTAAGATGTAGGATACACCCCCGTTTAAATAAAGGCAATTCCAGTACCACCTCTTTCTCCCTTTCACCTGGAGAAGTTCAGGAGAGTTCTGAAATGTAAAAAAAGAAGACCAGGCCTGTGTAGTTTGAGGAAAAAAGATCGAACACTTTCCAGCTCTAAGTTTGTTCCTAAAGAAGAAACAGGGGTAAAACATCGGGCAGAAAAAGTGTGGGGCTTTCTGAGTCCAGCCAGACCGAATTCTGCCCTGATTCCCCTACTCAGAGCCTGCCTTGACACGGATGACATAGCCCCTCCGGCAGCAGGCGTCCTCTACCCTGCTGTCGCCAGGTTTTAAACAATCGTTTCTGCGGATGGGGCGCTCTTTGCCCACGTTCTGTGCGGATCAGCAGTTAGGTGGAAATGCGGTAGAGGCAGACTTAATATTATTTACTATACTACTTCCTGCATAATATGAATCTTGACCCTTGGTGTTCAGAGAACTCTCTTTCCCTCTCCACTCCCCTCCCCTTCCTCTCCCTTAAGATTTTAGTTTCAGTATTGTTCTTAATGGTTGAATCGAATGTCAAATGCTGAGGCAGGTACTGGCTTTAAAGATCAAGAAGTGTGTGGATTTGCACTTGCTTTTTAAATGTACCCCTCAGAGTGTATGAGTTACAGCTACCTTAAGATTGTGCGTTTTAAATGAAGGCTAATCAGACTCTGTGTCTGAGTCATCTTTCATTTAAAATATACACATCAACTGGAATTTTGTGTCTTAGGGGCTCAGGTGAAAATTCACCCATGGCACTGGTGGGATCATAGCTTTATTGAGGGTGCATGGGGCTTACGTTATCTCCTTCTCCTTTAGGATTTGGGAGGGTGAGAAAAGCAGAGAAAATGGCCATCCCAGGGTCCAGCCTTGGGAACTTTCTCCAACAGCCCGAGCAATGAAAACGTCCCTGCAAATCCCATTTTAGGCCTTTTGCGGGCAGCCTGGCCGTTTCTGAGCAAGCACTGGGTTAGGTTTCCGGAAACTAACCCTGAAAGTCTCCTGACTTCTGTCCCAAGGCCTCTCCTTCCTGTATTTGGTGCTGGGAGCTGGGCCTGACTCCAGGGTCGTTTTCTGGTGTGGAGCAGTTGTGTGGCCGGGCTCCATCCTTCAGGCCTCCTCACTCACAGCCGGCTCTCTTATCAGGCTGGCTGGGATTAAGTCCGAGTCAGGGAACTCAGGGCCATTGAAGGAAACCCATAAATCAAGTCAGGTTCTAGAGAGAGACCTTGGGGAATGTGATTTAGGCGGTGTATCTGGAGAGGCCAAATAAGCAAAGGGGCCCTTCTCCCCCTCTGCAGCAACCTCTCGGGTGTCAGCCACAGGCCCTTCATTCTGCTACATTTGATGGGACATCCCTGTGGGAGAGATGGGTGAAGGATTCTGTCCCCAGCCTGACCCCCAGGTGTGCCAGGCAGGTACTCCGGGGACCGCCAGGATGAGAGAGTGGGCCTGAGCCCGGGCTTTTGCTGAAAAGGAGGCCGATGCGAGGTAGAGATTCCCCAGGTGTCCCTGACGGCCTCCCAGGGCCACACTCACCCTCCTTCTCTCTCCTGCCCTTTCCCCGTTGCCCCACAGGGAGCCAGGTGTGCCGCCCGCCTCTGCTTCATGGATCCCTACCCTGGCTGGACGGCGGCAAAGCCCTGGGCAGCCACCACACCGCCTCCCCCTGGAATCTCAGCCCCTTCTCCAAGACGTCCATCCACCACGGCTCCCCGGGGCCCCTCTCCGTCTACCCCCCGGCCTCGTCCTCCTCCTTGTCGGGGGGCCACGCCAGCCCGCACCTCTTCACCTTCCCGCCCACCCCGCCGAAGGACGTCTCCCCGGACCCATCGCTGTCCACCCCAGGCTCGGCCGGCTCGGCCCGGCAGGACGAGAAAGAGTGCCTCAAGTACCAGGTGCCCCTGCCCGACAGCATGAAGCTGGAGTCGTCCCACTCCCGTGGCAGCATGACCGCCCTGGGTGGAGCCTCCTCGTCGACCCACCACCCCATCACCACCTACCCGCCCTACGTGCCCGAGTACAGCTCCGGACTCTTCCCCCCCAGCAGCCTGCTGGGCGGCTCCCCCACCGGCTTCGGATGCAAGTCCAGGCCCAAGGCCCGGTCCAGCACAGGTAGGAGCCAGCTCTTCCCTGGAGCCTTTTCTCCTCCCTCCTCCCCTTTTCCTCAATCCAGGGCCGCACCCAGAGGGACCCCTCAGGGGAGCCGGGGTGTCCCAAAGCCTGCTGAGATGCCATTCTTCCCATTCTTCCTGCCGGGAAGGCACTGCATGTCCTCCCATCCTAGCTCACGCCTGGCCTCGGAAGCAGAGGGGAAGTGGGATCTGATTTAAAACCCCCCAATGAGCTGGGATAGGAAAAAAGACAAACAAAAACAAAGTCATGCCCTCTTCTGCCTGTCGCAGGACTTCTGGATTGGGCTGGTAACCTTTAGTCAGTTTCCAAGACCAAATGGAAGGCCGAGGGAATAATTCTTGAGTGTTTCATGCTAAAACGAAACCTCCTCAAGCCTAAACAAACACAGGTCCCTCTATGACCCCTTTGGCCTCTGTCATTCTGACTGTTCCTCTCGCTCAGCTCAAAGGGGACCACGCAGTGAGGACAGTCCTTTATTAGACGTGTAGACACAAAGTGTGTGTGCATGAGCCTGGCCAAAGCTGCACGCATATTCTCTGCGTGGAAAAGGGGGCTCTCAGCTGAACTGGGAGAAAGCGGTGGCTTTGCATTGGGGAAGCAGAGTTGAATGAAAATCAAATGTCGCCTGGCCCAGTTAGTTACCTGCAGCGTCTCCTAGAGCTCTCAGTGCAGTCAGGGGCAGGAAACCGTATTAGGACATATTGCTTGGCTGAGCTGCAGCCAGAGGAGGTAGAAAGGAACGGAAAAGTGCTCCAGGTGTGTATCTCAGCTTCCTGTGCTCTGTTCCTTTCCAAAATGCAAACGCTGCCTAGCAGCACGCTGCATTTTTATTCAGTTGGTGTCATTACTTGCATGAAGAAAAACCCCACACAAAATACTTTGGCTTTAAAAATAAATCGATCTATCACCAATTCCATTTCTAAACAAAGTAATTGAGTCAAAAGAGAGCTAGGGATTCTCTGATATTGATTTAACTGTATTATTAGACAGGGTTTGGTGAAGATTTTGATGTCTCCTTAGGCGTGTCCATTTCAGAGTGGGCATCTCTTCTCTGATCGGCTCCAGGTATCTTGCCTCCGCTGTCTCTCTACAGATCCTATATAGAAAGCAATCGTGAAAATCACTTGTCTTTTAGGGATGAGATGAGCAGCCTTGAAACCGAGCTCCCAAAGCTCCGGTTTGAAAAACTTCAGAGGGAGTACTCTGGGAGCCCAGTGACCATGAGATCAGTTTTCAGGGTTTTTTTCCAGGGTGACATTCACTCCGACTGCCTGAGCAGGACTGTCTCTATTTAGTTGATATGTTTTAGCTAATCCAATTATTTTCAGACTGCTGCACGCGACAGTTGCATTGTTTATCCTGAGCCAGGAACTTTAATAGAGTCCGGATGCGGTTAGGCTGACAGAAGAACCCAGACCTGCATGTTCAGTACATGAAAGTAGGCAGGAGGGAGAGGGAGGCAGGCTAGCTGGTGGAGTCAAAAAGAAAGCAAGAGGCCGGGAGAGCTGGAGGCACAAAGTGGCCACGGTGCCTGGCAGGGGCTGGGCTTGGGGGTGGAGGGAAGGATTAAGAAGTGGGGTGCAGCTTGACTCAGAAACACAGGCTGGGGAGCTGAATCGAAAGAGAGCAGACCTATGCATTTTGAGGTTGTGATGGGATTTCTTTTCTTTTTCTTTTTTTTTTAAAGTTCTCTTTTCTGGTAAGGCTATGAGGTTGGGGAGAGCTCGTGGTATCTGAGGCCGGCGTAGTGGTTTGTGCGGGGGGAGGGGACAGAGTGACTTTTCCAAGATACTCTGGTTTCTTTACCCTCATTTCCGTGTTTGATTTCTCCCCCTCTTGTGCACACTTTCTGCCTTAAGTTTAGTCTTTTCTTTCCTCTCATTTCTTTCCATAAGACTCTGAACATGGAGGGGAGAAAGAGAGGGCCGTGGTTTCCCTAAGCCAGAGCTAGGAATACCGATACACCGATTTTGGTTTTTTTGGCGAGGAGGAGAGGAGGCCATTTCAATTTGGCCTTTTTACTTCCTCCTTCTTAATTCCTTTCTCACAGTCGTGAAAACCGAGAACAGCACACCTGGCAGGGGCGGCGAGCGAGCTGGGACTTTTGGGAGTGTGGAGGGGAAGTTTCGAGAAGCCCCTCCTTTTGCAGGGGGTGGAGGTGGTGGGAATTCTTCAGGAGGGGATTCTCTTGGTTTTAGTGGTTGCTCTCTCTCTCTCTCTCTCTCTCTTTTTTACCCCTTTAACCTCTTCTTTGCAAATGCATTTGCTGAAGGAGGACACAGAGAAGAGAGAGTTTTTGGGGTTGTCGCTGGAAACGGTTGAAGTCGTGGTTAGGGCACCTATTGCTGTCTTAACGCCTGGGCTTTCGGGGCTGGGACGAAGCTTTTGCAAACAAAAGACAGAGTCTTTGTGTCCAGGGCCGCTTCTTAGCTCCACTGCCACCTTTCCAGTTGGGCATCTCCCTCCACTGTCATCTGATCGAGCTCCTGCCCTGCTCCCTACCCCCTCCCACAGCCTGGTTTAAGGGTTTCAGGCCAAGGCGGAGCAAGAGGCATTTGCCAGCAGCTGTTGAATGTCAAGAGGCCTCGCCGCTCTGTGGTTCTTGTCACCTAAGAGAGAGGTGTCTGCCTGAGCAGCTCACAACAGGCAGGGGTGAGGAGAGGGGAGGAAAGAAGGCAGGAGAGAGTCAGGGCCTCCATTAGGAAAACTGGCTGTTTGCTGAAGTGACAGACCAGAGGCAGCAAGGAAAAAAGAAGAAGAAAAGCCCATAGGAGGCAATGGCAACCTTGCCGAGTGAATCAAGACAGAAAATTACCCTAGTGTGCAGAACCTTGTTGAAGAGGTAACCGTTGCTAGCTTTCAAGGTGTTTCTGAAAAGGAAGCTATCACCCTCCCCACCACCCTGCAAATGAGAGGAAATCAGACTGATCATGTCAGGCTGGGAGGTCCCCCAGCACCAGGGTGCCCAGGAGCCGGGTGGCAACCACGCTCCCCGCCTCCAACCACAGCGGCCTCTCCTCACACTGCCCTCTGCCCAGTGCCCAAGTAGGGGAGGAGCCCGAGGGGGTCCCCTGTCTGGGCAGGGTGGGGAGTGGGCCTGCAGTCCTAGCTGGGACAGGGCCAGTGCTGCCCCAGAAGGGGCTGACCCAGCAGCCACCAGCGACACAAAAAGGCAGGCCTGCGGCCTGGCTTGGGCTGCAGCCGGTTACTCGCCCACTCACCCTTCACTCTTTCCTTCCAGCCTCCCCCACATCCAGTCTGCCACATCCCTCAGGCTTTTGACCCCAACTGAAAGGTGTCTGGGTGTGATTCAGGCCTGAGCCTTTTTCAAGAACTGAGAAGAGCCGTTGGGTACTTAGGAAGGCGCCTTTGGCATGCACTGCAGCGTGTTTGTGTTTAATCTCAGGGGTTCTGGGGCACAGCAAAGGCTCTCTGGGGACCCTAGGCTAAGAATCTTTTGGAATGTGGAGCAAAAAAAAAAACCTCTCTTACATCCTCATTTTTTTTTTTTTTTTAAAAAACAAAGTAGACAAAAACTAGTGGGCACCATCCCTGACTTTCAAGGGTGCAAGACCCTCTTCCATTTGCAAAAGTCTTTAACTTTCCTGAAGAACTTACCCCTGGAGAGTATCACAGGCCCCCAAGTGTGAACCCCCCTAGTTCCCTCCTACTTGATCTGGGGCTTTCCAAAGGCCCAATAGGTCCCATATCTGCCAAGGCAGATTTTTCCTCCTTTTAGGGGAATCAAAATTCTCAAGCACCCTACTGGGTTCTCTTCTTCTACCCCAGTGGTCCGGGCAGGTTGGAGGTCATTAATTACTCTCTTAAAACAAAACAGTCTTCAGAGCTCATTTTTCTTCCCTACCTACCCTCCGGGGTCCTCCTCTGGGCCTCCCCTCTCTGGGGGACCAACTTGAGTTAAGCCTCCTGTTCCTGCAAGGAAGGGGAGTCCTGGCTTTCTCTGGGCACCCAGAGAACTGGGCGCTAGAGACCCGTGTGTCCCTGGGTCCCCCAAAACCAAGGAGATTCTCCTAGAAAGCATCTTTCTCTTCCTCTTGCAAAGTTGAAATCAGTTAGCCAACTCCCCCATGTCTTGAAATGGTAATTTAAGGGATTCTTCCAAGGAGCTTTCTGGGTGGGTCTGGGTCGCTTTCCAGCCTGGGCTGAGGGAGTGAATGCTGCTCAGACTTCCTACCGGCCTGGCTGGTTTTTCGTTTATTTTGTTTGTTTGTGTTTTTGGGAAAAGAGAAACTGTAGGCAGGCCTTGGTTACTGAGCAGCCACCCCGCTTTGTTAACTTGCCTCTTCTCCTGATCTTCCTCTGATCGGCTTCACTCTGTCCTCCCAAACCTTCCCTTTTCCTTTTTCCCTCCCTCCCCCTCTTCCAGGTTCCCTGCCTAAAGTTTGCATTTCCCCCTTGCACCCCCTGGCTGGGGTCATACTTTAACTTCAGTCTCCGTAACAGCGGCTGGAAAGCTATGGAAACCCCTGCTGGGTCCTAATCGCTTCCTTTCCAGCCAGGGACATTTGCAGTTTGATTGGAAGTAAAATCTAAAACCCTAGCTAGTGAAATCAATCAGCCGATTGATCAATCTATGCATCTATTTATTATCTGTTCACCTATCTAGCCATTGATGAATCCTTCCTTTCCCCCATCCTAATCTTCATTATTTAATCAATCTCTATAGACAGACCCATGATGATAATGGGTCACCTTTGTCTTCCTTTTTTTCCTTTGAGGGAAATGAATGGAATGTTTGCCTTTTGCCACCATCCAGGGCTCAGGATTTTCTCAGGGAAGTATTTGTAGCTGGAATCTGCATTCCTCCTTGGTCCTGCCCGATCTTCTCCATCAAGTCGGGCAAGCCAAGAACAGGGTTCTGTTGCAACGATGCATCTGCCCCTTCTGCGGGCGCCTCCGTGTGTGTCGGGGGAACGGTCATGCCAGGACAGCATTCCCCAGCTCAACTTTGGAGCATCTTGGAAAGAGGTGGGGGTGGACACGCTCCCCAAAAGAGGAGGGAGAAGGAAAAAAGTTCTCCATTTTACGTTTCTCCCCCAGTTCCAAATGCTGTCAGCTTTCCTGCGTGTTTTCCTTCCCTAAGTGGCTTATCTGTGCTTTTGTTTCCAGAAGGCAGGGAGTGTGTGAACTGTGGGGCAACCTCGACCCCACTGTGGCGGCGAGATGGCACGGGACACTACCTGTGCAACGCCTGCGGGCTCTATCACAAAATGAACGGACAGAACCGGCCCCTCATTAAGCCCAAGCGAAGGCTGGTAAGTTCTCGGGAAGGGATGGATTCCATGCTGACCATTCTGGGTTTCTCATTTCCTCTCTTCCGGAAGGACAGCTTTCTGCAGGAAATTGACAGGATAGCCTCCAATCGTGTCAGCTGGCTTGGGACAGTTTTTTTTTTTTTCCTTTTTCTTTCTTTCTTTTCTTCTTCTTCTTTTTTTTTTTTTTTTTCAAATTTGATACACAGAACAGCTCTTTTCCCCTCTTTTTCCCCATCCATGTTTCTTAAGTCGCTTGTGAACATTTTAAGGAGACTGAATTCTTGGTTATCAAATCTGCAGTGTATTCCTGAATAGAATAATGGTATGAACAGGACCAGAGCAGCTGGTTTAAGTGCACTGATGAGCACCGTTTGACAGATAGAGACATTTAGTATGAGGACGGAATGTTCCAGAAACCATCCAGAATGGGTTCCTGAAGTTGTGGCGTGTGGCTTCCCAGGAAGGATTACAGACTCAGTGCAATGGATGGATTTGTTATGCTAATGCTTCAAAATGGTTGGAGCTGATTAAATGAATTTCAGAGGCTTCACCAGCAACCAGTGAGCCTAATGCCACTTTCCTCCTTTCTTGGTCTCAGCATTTGAGAACTTTCCACAGGCAATTCCTATGGGAAACGTCGTGTGAGTCCTCTCATACCTGGCATTTGGTCTTCTTTTCTCTTTGAACTACTACCAGTAAGGTGATAGTTTTTTCTCTCCTCTCTCATTATTCTTTTAAAAACTTTTTAAGCATGAGGGATCCTTGAGAAAACCTGGCTCTGTCAAGCATTTATAAGGAAGACAACTTATAGGGGACATTCATTTGCAAGCTCCTCTTTGGAAGTTTGAATAGTGAATGTATGTGACAGACAAATAACAACTCTAGCCACAGCTAAGAGATCAAAATGCTTTATGTGGTGCTGACATTCACCAAGTCGAGATGGGAGGAGGGGAATTTCCCCACGCAGATTAATGGATAAATTAGCATCCATCAATTTCTAAGGAAGGAAAAAGAACACCTCTGTATTCTTTTTAAAGAATACTTTGCCCTCCCCATCAGATTGTAGTGCAACTCAACACCTTTCACATCCTATTTTGAAGAAGGAAAAACTTTCTTTTTTTTTTTTTTTTTTTTTTTGAGACAGAGTCTCACTCTGTCACCCAGGCTGGAGTGCAGTGGCACGATCTCGGCTCACTGCAACCTCCACCTCCCGGGTTCAAGCAATTCTCCTGTCTCAGCCTCCTGAATAGCTGGGAGTAGGGACACCCGCCCCCACACCCGGCAAATTTTTGTATTTTCAGTAGAGACAGGGTTTCGCCTTTTTGGCCAGGCTGGTCTCAAACTCCTGACCTCAGGTGATCCACCGCCTCGGCCTCCCAGAGTGCTGGGATTACAGGCATGAGCCACCGCTCCCAGCCAAAGAAGGAAAACTTTCTAGGGATGGAAATGTCCACATGACTTTAATCTTTGACAATCCTGGATATCGAGGCTTTATTCTTTCTGATCTTTGCCCCCTTCTCCAACTTTCTCAACCTTCCCCCACCTCTCCTCCAGCAGTTTGGTTTTTTTTTTTTTTTTTTTTTTTTTCCTTTCTCTCATGTGCAAAGCTGACTTCCTAGGAAAAAGCTGCCGGATATCTGAGCACTGGAGATAACTCATAAACAACAACTCAGCTTCCCCAACCTAAACACCAAGATGTTTGAACGTATCAGAACAAGAAGTGTTTGAAAAAAAAAAAAAAAAAAGGCTAGAGGTGTTAGTGCAGAATGAATATGATCACACCACAAAAGAATGTTTTGAATCACTCAAAAACCTGGCCTTAGTAAAAAAAAAAAAAAAAAAAGAGAGAGAGAGAGAGAGGAAAAAAAAACAACAAACAAAAACCTTCTTGTTAAAATGTGTCTTGGTACCATTATAGTTGTTTTTTTTGTTTTTTCTGTTTTTTTTCTAATAAAAGTAAAGAAGGAAAAAGAGGGATTAAAAGTCTCAAGGCATGGGCTGATTGGTGAGCAAAAGTTTATTTGACATTTTCTTGGGTCTTCTTCCTCTGTCTGGTCAGATTGCAGAGGAGGATCGTAATTCCATTTTATGCAATTTTATCTCCACTCACCTTTCATAGGAAATCTCTAGAACTCTGAGTAATAATTGCTTTGAATTTTAGAGTTCAATGACTGTCACATTTTCATCTGTCTTTTCTTTCTTAATCATCTGTCTTTGGTGGTTTGATGTTTTTAGTTCTATAGAATTCATAAGCTACAGGGAGGTAGAACACAGGACACACTCAGATTTCTTTTTCTTTCTTTCTTTCTTTCTTTTTTTTTTTTAGCCCTGAGATGTATTTGACTTCTGAACACCTAGAACCCTTTGTTTTCTTCTTTCCTGTATTCCCTGACCCTTTATTCCAGTTCCAGCTTGCTATTTTTGTTTGATACATTTGCAGATTCACTGAAGACCACCCAGCCCATATATAGCTAGCTCTTCTGTGAGATGTGTATTTAACCCTGAAAAAACTAATGCAAGAAATAGGAGAGATGACCGAAGGGAAGACTCATAGATTCTTTTCCCCCTGGCATTGCCAGGATTTTCATACATCTCACCACTAGTGAGAGGCTGAGCTGCTTGCTTTAATATACTGTACCTCCTGCTAGTGACCCAAACAGTGTGGCTTTGAGAGACCCTAAGTTCCCATAAAGTTTGTAGTACTGGAAGCATCTTCCTTTGCTTTTATTTAGATTGCTGTCAATAGACTGCAAAAGATTACATGCTGTACCTTGTCATCTGGAGCTCTGACTTTACCAGTTGGCATTATATGCTTGTACTCTGTACATTCAGAATTGCTGGGCTAGGAAACCCAGGTGCCTGAGTGATATTAATCTGCTATATCTGAGTAGCTCTTCTAAAAAAAAAAAACACTATAGGAAGATAATAATCACATATAATTTAATTGTCAAAATCATTAAGCACTGGTTTTACGTAGTACTTTCTCCCAAAAAGTACACAAATGAAACAGTTGTTTAAGCATTAAATTACCATATTTCATAAAGGCAGTCGGGCAGAGGCATATGGGGTTAGATCAGCACTCATGGACAATGTGAATTACATTCAAGATGGACAGCAAAAGACTCCCATCTTCTCCCTTATGATAGGCCAGGGCAGTTTTTAGTTTCCAGTTCCTTAGAACACAGAAAAGAAAGAATTTTTTTAAAAAGGTCATATATACTCTGTTATTTACATCCCACAGAAGCATATCTGTGAAACAATTTAGCAACTTTGAAAGAAAAAGGGTCACTCAGGTTAATTCAAAATTGTCACTGGGTTCTCCATATCTGGCAGCTTCGGGTGTTGGCTTCAACTTTTTGCTTGATAAAATATTGATATAAAACTGTACCAGAATCCCAGGCCGGGTGCGGTGGCTCACTCCTGTAATCCCAGCACTTTGGGAGGCCAAGGCGGGTAGATCATGAGGTCAGGAGATAGAGACCATCCTGGCTAACACAGGTGAAACCCCGTCTCTACTAAAAATACAAAAAATTAGCTGGGGCGGTGGCGGGCGCCTGTAGTCCCAGCTACTTGGGAGGCTGAGGCAGGAGAATGGTGTGAACCCAGGAGGCGGAGCTTGCAGTGAGCCGAGATCGCGCCACTGCACTCCAGCCTGGGCGACAGAGCGAGACTCCGTCTCAGAAACAAAAGAAAACATAACAAAACAAAAAACAAAAAACAAAAAACAAAACTGTACCAGGATCCCTATAGTTCTTGTTCTGTGTTCTTATAACCATACCAGAATTTTCTTCATCACAGACAGAGACTAAACTCTTTCTTCTCTTACCTTTCCTTTGATAATATTTTTGATCCAGGAATGGGGATAATTTTGCAGTTAAAATTTTCTTTTTATGATGGAAGGTGAGGAGGAGAGAGAGGTTTACATTAGAAGTGACCCAACTCCATTTTCTTCCAATGGTTTTTTTCAGTTTTATTTTTTTAAAGCGTGAACAGAGAATAGTCACCTGATCAATTTAAATATGTCAAAAAGTGAAAGAAAAATCTCTCTTTTAAAGGAAATGAGGGCAGTAACACAACCAAGGAATCAAAATTCAGGTTGAGGCTGACCTTTGACCTGCAACTATGCTACTCCATGAACAGCAAGTAGGAAATGGCTGATTTCATGAAGGTGGACTGGCATCAGAGGAGGCGAGGGATCCAGGGTTCCTGATGAGTGGCAACATTCCTTGGTCTTTTGAGTTTGTTTGATTGGTGAATCAAATTTAGGTGACAGCCAGCTAAAGAGAGTGAGGGTGGCTGTCTTGTGAATGGGAAGTGACCAAGCTTGAAAGCACAGACTGTGGTGGCTCACGCCTGTAATACCGGCACTTTGGGAGGCCGAGGCAGGTGGATCACTTGAGGTCAGGAGTTCAAGACCAGCCTGGCCAACATAGTAAAACCCTGTCTCTACTAAAAATAGAAAAATTAGCCGGGCATGGTGGCAGGTGCTTATAAATCCCAGCTACTCGGGAGTGTGAGGCAGGAGAATTGCTTCAAGCCGTGAGGTGGAGGTTGCAGTGAGCTGAGATCGCACCACTGCACTCCAGCCTGGGTGACAGAGCGAGACTCCATCTCAAAACGAGAAAAAAAGAAAGTGCAGGCTGTATAAATTTAGGAGGTCTTGTTGACCTAGGATGTCCTACTTGGCGCTTCCTCAGGTGTGTCACCCATGTGTATGTGCCACACACTTGCACAGACATTCTTTGCAGAATTTGCTGTTGTGTTGGCACACTGTTCTCTTTATAACTCAGCATTTCTTTATTTGCGATCCAGAGTGTTTTTGGTGCTTGGCTTTGCGCCTCCTTTGCTGTGAATGCATCCTGATGGCTGGAGCCTGTTTGAGGATGGATATTCTTGGGAGTTGTGTTTGAAAACAACCTCTTGTGGCCCTGGACTTGGTGAAAAAGGCAACTGAAAGCCCAGTTCCAAAATGAGGCTGGCTAATTCAAAATTGCCACCCATAAAAATTAACCCTCTGGTGTACTTTGTGGGTTGAGGGTAGGAGGCTAAGACTGCCAGGGAGGAGGCCCCGGCTTCCTGCTCCTACCGGGGAGCAGCAGGTGAAACTCTGACCACGTTACTGCAATCCTGACATGCTCCAGTGGAGTGGCGACATTTTTCTTCTCGAGGCAGCTTTTGGGGATCTGTATTACTTTCATGTGGACCACTTGCTAGTTTTGATTTCAATGATAATTTCTTCCTTCCTTTTTTTTTTTTTCAAGCCTGTCTTCATAGTGATGACAACACATTTAACATTTGTTTTGATTTCACCCTCTCCTCTCTCCCCACTCTCAGTCTGCAGCCAGGAGAGCAGGGACGTCCTGTGCGAACTGTCAGACCACCACAACCACACTCTGGAGGAGGAATGCCAATGGGGACCCTGTCTGCAATGCCTGTGGGCTCTACTACAAGCTTCACAATGTAAGTGGACTGGGATCAGCAAGAACAGGGCTCGCTTCCTGATGGTGACCAGCAAACAGCGTCACCACCACCCTCTCCAAGTGAATCGCTCACCATGGGGGCAGATGACAGGTTCCAAATAATTGATGCAATAGGACCTAGCTTGGAAAACTACTTTGTCTAGCATAGCCGTGCTGAGGCCGAGGGGGCTCACAGCCTGGCAGCCACACAACCCCCTTGGTATGCATTGGACACTCCACATACCATGCAGCAATCCGATGTGCTGAGTGGGCCTGTGTGGTTTATAAGGAAAAAAAAAAAATCTTCCTTTTGGAAAACAAAAAAAGCCACCGGTCCTATTTTGTTGTTTCCTTACATTTTAAACTCTTTGCAGAAAGAGAGAATGAAAGAGAAAGGTAAATAGAATTGTAATGTGTGGCAGGGGGTCTGGAAACTAAGAGGACCCATTTGGTTACTGAGAGGTAAAAAGTCTTGGCTAAATCTGTGCTACAAATTTGAAATGGATCCTCTGTATAAAAGACATGGAAAAAAATGTCTGACAGATTTCGTCTGATGTCTTTGTCCGAACCAACTTTCACGTGTAGAGAGCTAGCTCCTGAGGAAGGTGGCTGGCCTGGGGGATGTTACCATACCAGGGAAAATAAACTGTCATTTTCTCCTTTTATATCATGTTAGCAGAGCGGTAATTGCCAGTCACCTGAATTTAGTTGTGTCATTTCTGATCTTTCCATTTGGGGTCCTCTCATTTTGTAACATATCTTAATCTTAAAAAATTTTTTTTTCAGTTTTTTTTTTTTCCTGAAATCATTCTGGCTCAGAGGCCATGATTCTAGTGAGGCTTCAAGTTTACATTAACTCTAAAGACAAAAATGGTTATTTTGGTCTTTCTCTGTGTTGCTCTCTCTCTCCTTCCTTTTTAGCTCTTTCTGATTCTCCTAAATTCTCTTGGCCAACCTGACTTTGGCAAAGTCCGGGGCTGAACAGGGAGGAGACAGGGACTTTTGCTTGCGGCGGTTCTGGCAATGAACTCATCTTACTCAGGAATACCTGGGAATTGGGGAGGAAGCTTTTCTGGTTGGATTTTTTGAGTCATAAAGAACTTCTCAGGGTGACCCCAGCACCCTGCTTCTTTTTCACTTCTTGGGAGCAAGTTGCTGTGATTCCGAGGAGCCCTGTACGCTCATTCCCTGCCTGTGCCAACTCTCTCGCTGTGGCCCTGGTGCAGTGAATGAAACTAGAGTCTTACTACGATCCCTTATTCTCCCTTAGGTCCTGGGACTGTGGTCTATATACATTTATCAGCAATTCAATCCAAGTTCTATTTTCACTTTGGGGAATTTGCTTGCTGACTACAGTAGAGATAGAGATTCGTGATTAAAATCTGGAAGGCTTGGGCTTATAAGCTATTAGGTTATTAGCATTAGGGTTTATTAGCTATCCAGTCATCAGCACTGCCTATGAAATTATTTTTGGGCTGTAATTTATGGATTTCAAAGAACTTTCATGTTACTTGATTACATTTGAGCCTGAGATAGTCCCATGATGTAGACAGGGCAGAAATTATTTTTATTTCAGTTTTACTTGAGGGAGTTATGACTCAGAAAAGCAAGTCGCTTGCACAAGGTAACGTGGCTGAGAAAGTATAAGAGTCAGGGCCCATTTCAGAGTCAGGAGGCTTTCCTGGGAAGTTGGCAGTGTCAGAACTAAGAGGAGAACCAGGGGAAAGGGAATGCTCTCTTTTTTTAGAGTATAACAAAATTGTAACAAATTGTGTGTGTGTATATTTCATCCCTATATTCGTGGAAGTATAGGAATTATAGGAGATTAACTAGCTATATGTTTTTTTGAATAGTTAGCTGGGATGAGATATGATCTCACTTGTGTCTGATCACATATATATATATTTCTGAAGAACATGAATTTCTCAAATCAAAGTAAAGCTGAGGAATCCTCTCCATGGCTCACTTCTACCTCCTCAATCTTAATGAGCTTGGTCTTCATGGCTGGGCTCCAGTGAATGGGAGACAGAAACTTCCTCATCCTCAAGAGTGGTTTTTCTGTCTTCTCTGGTTTACCAGGAATTTGTAAAAGGAGGCGATTGATGTGTATTGAACAATAAGAGATAATAATCTATTAACATTGTCATCACGTTGCGTTTTGCTCTGCCCTTCCAGACATCTCTACATGGATGCCATAAGCTCTTTCTTCTTATCTAGGTGTTGAGATAACTGCCTACCTCGGTATCAGCATCTCTCAGTGGTGTTGTGACTGGTTATCTGGGGTTGTGTGGCTACTGGTGTAACTAGATATTATATTTAGATACCTGGCTATGTATAGCTAGATATCGGCATCAGAGCTGTGTATCTGGACATTATCTTGGTGAAGATTTGATGTGGGAGTAGATTCCTGTCATCTCTGTAGGCTGCATCTTTATCTTGATGATAACTTTGAAGAAGGAACCTGGAGATGTTCCTCTGGCAGTGACCTTTCTGGGCTCTCCTGCCATCGGTCACGTTGCCTTCCTGGGCTTGGGGAAAATAAGGTCTCAGCTCCAGTGTGGGGCTTTGTTTCCTTCTCCAGGTGACCTCTCCCAGCTCAGCTTCGGGAAGCTGGGTGTTGGCTGCTCTCAGCAGGTTGGCCATTTGAATTCTTCCTTTCTTAGCTGTGATTTTCTGGCTTTGGGAACAGACAGGTAAAACCCAGAGCCAAGGGTTCTCCACCCTTGAGAACTGTGGCGGAAGGCGATGCTTTCAGCCCGGGAAGTCAGGAATGGCCAGGACACTGACATTCACTCCTTGAGTCTGTTTGCCACCCTCCCCTGGGAACATGGCCAGATGTGGAGTTTGCTCTTCCGGGCAGATGTCTGCTGTTGGGGTTAATCTGCTTCTGCCTCCCTGTGGGGAGTAACTTCTGTTTACTTTGTAAAGTTTCCTTTCTTGATTCTGGGCCCCCAAAGCAAATGTATTTTTAAAGGCAAATGAGGTTTATTAAGAAGAGAGAAATGGCAGATGTCTCCGAGACTGAAGTCTCTTGATCTTGAGAGTAGGGTCTGGTCTCTGTCTCTTTACTCTAGCACATTCTTGGTCTTTCCTTTTCAAGATGAGTGCCCTTTTGTGCTTTGCACCCCATAGGTGGTTATTAAATACATGTTGATTGGTTGGTTGGCTGTTTGTCTGGTTAGAAGTGGAGAGTCAGAGCTAGGTGGAAATAGCACTTGCAACCATTGCAGCTGCTGTTGGAATGACACAGGCAAGAGATCACTTTTGGGCCAGGCGCGGTGGCTCATGCCTGCAATTCCAGCACTTTGGGAGGCCGAGGTGGGCAGATCACAATGTCGGGAGTTCGAGACCAGCCTGCCCAATATGGTGAAACCCCGTCTCTACTAAAAATACAAAAATTAGCCAGGTGTGGTGGCAGGCGCCTCTAGTCCCAGCTACTCAGGAGGCTGAGGCAGGAGAATTGCTTGAACCCGGGAGGCAGAGGTTGCAGTGAGCCGAGATCGCGCCACTGCACTCCAGCCTGGGCGACAGCGGGAGACTTCGTCTCAAAAAAAAAAAAAAAAAAAAAAAAAAGATCACCTTTAAGAAAGGCATGGTTTCATAAAATACAACCCGGCTACATATAAATTCTAGCGGAAGATTTTATGGCACCTCTTAAAGGCCAGGTAGAAGAGAGGCAACCGAAAGTTACTCAGTAGAACAGTACAGTCCTCATTTCTTCAAGGCAGACAGCCTTAACCACCTAGAGGCTGATGGCCTGGGGAGTACTTTTCAAGTTCTGAAGCAGATTTGTCAAAGTAGCCAAAATGGCATTTCCCTCCTGAAGATTCTTCACTACCTCGATTCTTATGAAATAGTCTAAGGAAGTTCTAAAGAAATAAGACAAGTGAATTCTATTTTCGTTACCAGAGAAATACAATCGTACTAGACGGGGCTGTAATCTGGTAACTGTATGTATTTTAGTTCTTCAGTCCCTGGGAAGGAGACAGGAGAAGGTGGGAGGGAGGAAGGGGCCAGCTGAAATGGAAACAGATCCCTGATCCGGGGCGGTCAGTGGAACCCTTCTTGGTGTGCGAGAGCCTGTGCATTTCAGAGGCAGCAAAAAAGTAAAAAAAAAAAAAAAAAATTGATCTTTGTTTAGATTAACAGACCCCTGACTATGAAGAAGGAAGGCATCCAGACCAGAAACCGAAAAATGTCTAGCAAATCCAAAAAGTGCAAAAAAGTGCATGACTCACTGGAGGACTTCCCCAAGAACAGCTCGTTTAACCCGGCCGCCCTCTCCAGACACATGTCCTCCCTGAGCCACATCTCGCCCTTCAGCCACTCCAGCCACATGCTGACCACGCCCACGCCGATGCACCCGCCATCCAGCCTGTCCTTTGGACCACACCACCCCTCCAGCATGGTCACCGCCATGGGTTAGAGCCCTGCTCGATGCTCACAGGGCCCCCAGCGAGAGTCCCTGCAGTCCCTTTCGACTTGCATTTTTGCAGGAGCAGTATCATGAAGCCTAAACGCGATGGATATATGTTTTTGAAGGCAGAAAGCAAAATTATGTTTGCCACT
Organism: Homo sapiens; assembly: GCF_000001405.40. Lineage (NCBI taxonomy): Eukaryota > Metazoa > Chordata > Mammalia > Primates > Hominidae > Homo > Homo sapiens. The sequence continues at coordinate 8,074,167 of NC_000010.11, forward strand.
TTGCAAAGGAGCTCACTGTGGTGTCTGTGTTCCAACCACTGAATCTGGACCCCATCTGTGAATAAGCCATTCTGACTCATATCCCCTATTTAACAGGGTCTCTAGTGCTGTGAAAAAAAAAATGCTGAACATTGCATATAACTTATATTGTAAGAAATACTGTACAATGACTTTATTGCATCTGGGTAGCTGTAAGGCATGAAGGATGCCAAGAAGTTTAAGGAATATGGGAGAAATAGTGTGGAAATTAAGAAGAAACTAGGTCTGATATTCAAATGGACAAACTGCCAGTTTTGTTTCCTTTCACTGGCCACAGTTGTTTGATGCATTAAAAGAAAATAAAAAAAAGAAAAAAGAGAAAAGAAAAAAAAAGAAAAAAGTTGTAGGCGAATCATTTGTTCAAAGCTGTTGGCCTCTGCAAAGGAAATACCAGTTCTGGGCAATCAGTGTTACCGTTCACCAGTTGCCGTTGAGGGTTTCAGAGAGCCTTTTTCTAGGCCTACATGCTTTGTGAACAAGTCCCTGTAATTGTTGTTTGTATGTATAATTCAAAGCACCAAAATAAGAAAAGATGTAGATTTATTTCATCATATTATACAGACCGAACTGTTGTATAAATTTATTTACTGCTAGTCTTAAGAACTGCTTTCTTTCGTTTGTTTGTTTCAATATTTTCCTTCTCTCTCAATTTTTGGTTGAATAAACTAGATTACATTCAGTTGGCCTAAGGTGGTTGTGCTCGGAGGGTTTCTTGTTTCTTTTCCATTTTGTTTTTGGATGATATTTATTAAATAGCTTCTAAGAGTCCGGCGGCATCTGTCTTGTCCCTATTCCTGCAGCCTGTGCTGAGGGTAGCAGTGTATGAGCTACCAGCGTGCATGTCAGCGACCCTGGCCCGACAGGCCACGTCCTGCAATCGGCCCGGCTGCCTCTTCGCCCTGTCGTGTTCTGTGTTAGTGATCACTGCCTTTAATACAGTCTGTTGGAATAATATTATAAGCATAATAATAAAGTGAAAATATTTTAAAACTACAAAATGACATCGTATCCACGTGGTGGCCGAGCTCTTCTAGAATCTGGTAGCTCTAGCTAATTTCAGAGAAAGGAGTTAAAAGAAACAACTTAACAACCAGACATGTTAAGTTATTCACTAGGAACCGATGCTAACCCCAGAGAGTCAACGTCTATTTTGGGGGGAGCTGGGAATATTTGGAGTTCTACATGCGACCTGGAGGAATTTATCCTGGGGCCGGGGTGACATCTGGGGTCCCCTAGTGAGTGGCAGTGTGTCTTCCTGCTCTCCTCCTGCCCTCGAAGGAGGACTGGGAAGATTTCCACGCTGAGATTCCCAGGCGCAAACTGCAGCTGATGCGTTCCTCGAGGTTCTCTTTGAGATGGAAACGAGCCGGCTGCTCGTGTTCATTTCTGTTTTGCTTTTCTACTGTTGAATGAATACCACCACAGTGAAGGGATTATTGGAATGTTTTCGAAACACAAAATAACCATTTTGTAACTTCTGCTGTATAGTTTTCTTTTCCTGTGGATGGAGTGTGTAACTACAGCACACATTTAAATGAAATCTCTGTTAATCGCCTCTGCACTATCTTAGCAAATATTTTAAACCTAAAGCTAAATGTTGAAATAAAGGTGTAGAGCATTACTGAGATGCAAATGGAGCTCTCTCTGGCTCCTAATTAATGACCTACAACTCGACTGTTGTTTCCAATTACTTTTGAAACACTGAAGGAAAGAATCACTGCTGGCTGTGGTAAACTTGGGAGGTTTTGTCATATAGTTCCAATGTCTTAAAGTTTGCCACCGCTTTGCTTCATGAACAGATTTGAGTTAATGCCCTTTCACCTTAAGAACAGGGAGTTCAAATTCTTGACATTCTTAGGGCTGGACAAGGGGCGGGGGACACGTGGAAAAATCCCAAACTCAGTATCTCAGCTACGTTTTGTTTAAGGTACACTTCATCCCATTCCTTCTTCAAAGAAATGTCATTTCATTGTTGTGGGCATTGATTGAACCTTCTAAGATGTTTCTAGCAGATGATGCAACAGCTGTAAAATATAAATATATATATAATAACAGTGATTCAGATCCTTTTTCTTTTTTTCTTTTTTGAGACAGAGTCTGGTTCTGTCGCCCAGGCTGGAGTGCAGTGGCGCAATCTCGGCTCCCTGCAACCTCTGCCTCCTGGGTTCAAGCGATTCTCCTGCCTCAGCCTCCCAAGTAGCTGGGACTACAGGCGCCCACCACCACGCCCAGCTAATTTTTGTATTTTTAGTAAACATAGGGTTTCACCATGTTGGCCAGGCTGGTGTCGACTTCCTGACCTCAAATGATCCACCCACCTCAGCCTCCCAAAGTGCTGGGATTAGGGGCGTGAGCCACCGCGCCCGGCCGATTCAGTTTCTTCTTTGGAATATTATCATATATTTTAATGGCCAGAATGGTTTGGTTCTTTTTTCTTTTTTCAAAAATATAAGACACAGTAGAGGAGCAATACTAAAGCGGGTTTAATCTAGAAAAGTAGAACAAGATCGCAGACCTAAAATATGGCTAAAAAATTTTTGAGTCGATTGTATTCCTAATTTCCAATCTGTTTCACCTCACTTTTGAAGTTGTTGTATTAGCACATCTATAGGAGAATATGGGGTTTTTTTTTTTTTTTTTTTGGAAAATATCTGAGGATTTGGGTTATTTCTTTAAAACATTTAAAAAGCCAACATAATAGAAAAAATTACATATGAATTGAACAGTTCTGCTATTTATAAACTCCTCTGTAGTGCTTTTGGATTTAAGCACTTTTTTCATTTATTCAACAAATACCCAAGTGTCTAAGTTGACCTTTTTTTAAAAAAATTTTTTAAAAGACAGATCAGGAAATAGAGAAATCAAGATTCCAGTGATGTCATTCTTACGTTGTGACATTTATATTGTTGTTCCCCTTTAAAACGAACTGCTTGAACTGTGGTGAGCTTCTCATTGGGCCTCTGGGTTAGTCCCTAAGCAGACAGGTTGTGATGGAACTAGGGTTACCCAGAGCTTGCTTTCTGAGATCAGCGTCTGCTTTCTAAACCTTTCTTTTCTTTTCTTTTCTTTTTTTTTTTTTTGAGACGGAGTCTTGCTCTGTTGCCCAGGCTGGAGCGCAATGGTGCAATCTCGGCTCACTGCAACCTCCGCCTCCCAGGTTCAAGTGATTCTCCTGCCTCAGCCTCCTGAGTAGCTGGGATAACAGGCATGCGCCACCACACCCAGTTAATTTTTTGTATTTTTAGTAGAGATAGGGTTTCTCCATGTTGACCAGGCTGGTCTTGAACTCCTGACGTCTGGTGATCCACCCATCTCGGCCTCACAAAGTGCTGGGTTTACAGGCATGAGCCACCGCACCTGACCCTTGCTTTCTAAAGCTTTCTAAGGTCTTAAAGTTGTTTTTAAAGTGTACTCCTCATCACAAGACTTCATTTTGGTATTTCGTAAGTTTAAAAGTGTGTGAAGGGTGCAGATTCTTTCCAGATACTGCATACGTGACTCGAGTTTAGTGAAACAACTGTTCCCCAAATTCAAGCCCACAAACTCCAATGCAATCCATTGCCTGCCTTGGATATTTTCCTCCTCATGGTAAATTGTCCTATTTACATTTTGGAGATGTAGAGATATTATTACTCCATTTTCTCTTGTTCCATTCCCCTGTCCACATCCTCAACCCCAAATCCACCCCAGAGCCATTTTTGTGATCTGCCTGGACAGAGGACATTGGTGAGCCCTCTGCAACTTCCAAGCTAAGGAGAGATTAAAAGACCAAAAGAAAACGTCTGAACAATGGCATATAATCTTATCCATAGAACAAAAATTCTAGCCATTATCTAAATCAGCAGAGCAACACACCAACACCTTTTGCCCTTCAAAATGAAGCAAACTTCTGGAAAACATCTTCATTTTTCTTTGTACCCTCTAGCTCAAGCAGATTTGACATCATCAGGTTTGACTTGTCCATACGCTTTGCAAAGAGCCCAGGAAGGGGAAAACCCTGGAATTCTGAGGCATTCATTGATCATTTGAACATGCTGTGACTATTGTCCTAGGAGTCTGGAAACTAGGGCTTCATTCCTGGCTGTGCTGCCATTTAACAGGATGATGTGAGGCTCTCTGTTTGATTTCTCTGGGAGCACACTTCTTATCTATGTAGTTAGATGAGATACTCTCTAAGACCTACTGGAGATTTTTTTTTTTTTTTTAAGAACAACTCTTCTGAGGAAAAGATTCTTCTCACCCCCAGCCATATTTTTATTTATTTATTTTTTCTGAGATGGAGTCTCATTGTGTTGCCCAGGCTGGAGTACAGTGGCACAATCTCAGCTCACTGCAACCTCCGCCTCCCGGGTTCAAGCAATTCTCGTGCCTCAGCCTCCAGAATAGCTGGGATTACAGGCGCCCACCACCATGCCCAGCTAATTTTTGTATCTTTAGTAGAGATGGAGTTTCACCATATTGGCCAGGCTGGTCTCGAACTCCTGGCCTCAAGTGATCCACTCATCTTGATCTCCCAAAGTGCTTGGGATTACAGGCATGAACCACCACGCCTGGTCCATAATTTTGACCAGGGTATTTGAAAAGCCTGATGGGAGAGTAGCCCATTAAAAATTCCAGATGGAGGCCGGGCGCGGTGGCTCACGCCTGTAATTCTAACATTTTGGGAGGCTGAGACAGGCGGATCACCTGAGGTCAGGGGTTCGAGACAAGCCTTGCCAACATGGTGAAATGCTGTCTCTACTAAAAATACAAAAATTAGCCAGGTATGGTGGTGCATGCCTGTAATTCCAGCTACTCAGGAGGCTGAGGCAGGAGAATCACTTGAAACCAGGAGGTGGAGGTTGCAGTGAGCAAGATCCCGCCACTGCACTTCAGCCTGGGCGACAGAGTGAGACTCAGTCTAAAAATAAATTAAAAAAAAAAAAAAGATTCCAGATGGGTTGGGGGAATTTCACTTCTATCTGCCCTTAGTGCCATCTTGTGAACTGCAAATTAACTTGTATTTTATGACTGTCAACCCGGGATAGGAGTCAGCGCCTCAGTCTTAGAAGTCTGCTCTTTCTGAAATGTGTCCAGGCCCCTCTCGAGCTGAATACACAGGACTTGCTTTTCCTGCTGATTTTGGCAGCCTGGTTCATATTTCTCTCATCCATTGTGTAAAGAAATTCTGCCTGAATTGCTTACAGGCTATTCTAGGGCTATAGCCAGAGTCCAGTCTTTTTTTTTTTTTTTTTTTTCCTTGTCCTGCCTGTCTCTCTTTCTCTTTGGAGAAGGGGATCAACAGAGGAAGTGGATCAGTGCTCAGAAAAGTGGTTCCTTTTAGGATGCTCTGTTCGGATCCTGGTGTCCCCGAGTCACTTCCTGACACGCCCTTGAGCTCCGGTGCAGGGGACCCTGGTCCATTAGCTACATTGTCTGTGGTGCATTTTTACAATCCCCTGTCATGTCTGTGTGCAGTTCGGCAGGCTGCACATTGGAGCAGGGATTTAGAGAGTGGGCCCTCTCCCCTCGCCCTTCCCTACCCCCACTGGTCTCAAGCTAAACAAAAGCCATGCCGTATAAAGCACTCATCTCATCCCTGCCTTTGGTGGCAGGGCTGGGTCCCCAGCAAGAGCCTGAAAGATGTGTAAACACCTGGAGGAGGCTTTGTGCTTGGGCCGGGGATTGTGTAACTCAGGGATGTTGTGTGGGGAATTGAGGTTCCCAGGACCAGGTCCTCATTCAGAGAACAGGTCTGAAGAGGACCCTGCTGCAGAGATGCGGGCTGCACAATGCCCAGACTACCACGTGCTCTGCAGGGAAACCAGCCAATCGGGTTTTGTTTTTTTGTTTTGAGGGGATTGGGTGTGGGCTGCCTGTGGGCATATGACATTTCTGAAAAATTAAAGTTTTGTTTTCTTCCCTTTTTTAACTAAATTATAAAATTAGTTAATAATTCATTGACCAAACTTGTAAAGTACCAAACTGTTTTTTAAAAGAAGCAGAATGGTCGGTTCTGGTGGCTCTCACCTGTAATCCCAGCACTTTGGGAGGCCAAGGCGGGAGGATCACCTCAGGTCAGGAGTTCAAGACCAGCCTGGCTAACATAGTGAAACCCTGTCACTAGTAAAAATATGAAAATTAGCTGGGTGTGGTGGTGCACGCCTACAATCCTAGCTACTCAGGAGGCTAAGGCACAAGAATCGCTTGAACTTAGGAGGCGGAGGTTGGAGTGAGCTGAAATCGCGCCACTGCACTCCAGCCTGGGCGACAGAGCGAGAGTCTGTCTCTACATACATACATAAATAAATAAATAAATAAATAAATAAATAAATAAAATAAGAAGAAGCCGCAGAGTTTTCCTCCTTGCTGTTGAATTGGCCACGTGCAGTGCAGTCTTAGGAAGGGTTTATCCTGAATGCTGTCTTGAAACTGATGGCCTCTAGGGGCGGGGTTGGGGGAAGCTTGCGTATAGCATTTGTTTTTTTGAGGGTCATTAAAAGTTCATCTCATGAACTGGAAGGGGTCGTTAAGTAAAAGCCACCTCGTAAACTGTGGCCACCCTCTCTCTTCTTACTGTTGGGGAGTCTCTGTTCCTCTTTATTGGGTCTACTAGGCTACGACCATGCCAAGGATAGCACAGGGACTGCTTGAGTAGTGGCAACAAGTGGCCCACACCGCCCCACAACCATCCGCAGCTTCCAAGACAGCCTCCACCCACAGTCACAGCCAACTCTGAGCAGACGCTGCCTGGCTTTCCCGCCATCGCCAACCCGATGATCCTGAGCCAGGAGCTCTGTGACTTTCCTCCACTCCAGGTAGACCATTCCCAGGCCGGGCACATGAGCTGGCCCGTCTTTGATAAATTTGAGACCCAGGTGTGTGAAAGCATCCTGTTCTTCACTTTGAACATCTTCGGGCTCCCTTGTGCCAGAGTGACTTGAAGTGCCTTGACGCAAGATGGGCCTCCGGTGGCAAATTCTCAATTTCCTGGATTGGACTCACTCTTCTGAAAACCAGACCTCTGGACTTCTGACAACTGCGTAGACCCATGGGGCCATCCCAGAAAGACAAGGGAATGGATTTGTTCAGTGCAACCATTGGGACTCACTCAGCCTGGACGATGAGAGGAATCAACCTGAGAAAATGGGCTGGGAGGCTGGCATCACACAGTGCACAGAGGCTAACAAACCAAGCTTGTAACGCATCAAACCCCCGGCAAATGACAGCAGGTGTTTCCATTGAGCACCCGCTCAGTGCTGAACTCTTTGGAGAGATTTTCTCACTTGACTCAGAAAAGCTCTGGAATGTGGGAAGATTACTCCCCTCATTTTATGCATAGGAAAATCATGGGATAGAAAGGATAAGTAATTTGCCCCCAAACAGGAGCTCAACATAAGGAAGGGTGCCAGGTCCCTTTTGCTCCTCCCAGAATCCTGCTAGGAGCACAGTGGCCAGCAGGCAAGACCCACTCAATAGGATTGGTTGAATACATGAATGCCAGTGTTATGCTGCTTTGAACACAAATAGGTCCCTTTCTTGGAGGCGAAACTGAAATCACCCATCAGAAACAGTGGCTTCCAGTCTCTCCCGATTCTTGTTAGATAGCAGGTCCTGGGAAGCTGCGAGGCAGACAGGATGTGTCTGAAGACCCTCAGAGGCCTGGAGACAGACCCACAGAATGCTGAGATCTTCAGCTTCTAGGCACACTCTACTGGAATGTCCAGTCCCAGGTCTCGATGCAGTCAGCATCGGTTTTAGTTGCCTGTAGCTGCTGTAACAAATGGTTATTTGTTATTTCCAAATAACAAATATTATTTGTAAATAACATTTAACATGTTAACATGTAAATAACACTTGTCATTCACAAATGGTTATTTGAACTTAGTTGCCTCTGACAGCACCCACATATTCTCTTGCAGCTCTGGAGGTCAGAAGCCCGCAATCACTGTCACTGGGCTAAAGTCGTGGGGTTGGCAGGGCTGGTTCCCGTAGGAGGCTCCAGGGGGGAGAATCTGCTTCCTCGCCTTCTCTCGCCTGGAGTCGGCCTGCATTCCTCAGTGCATGGCCTTTCCTGCCGTCGCGCCAACCTCTTGCTTCTGTTATCACATCTCCTGCTCATCTTTTGTCAAAAAAGAGGAGCTGGCTGTCCTTCGCTCTGGAGAAAGATACAGCTTAGAGGTTACAGCAGGGGAAGGGCTCTTGCGGTCAGATGAGATAGGTGAAGTTGGGGAGTTTTTCTACTCTGCAGAGTTCACTAGTGAACCCCAACTGGAGATGGGGACCTCAATCTTGGCTGTATTTGCTGAGGGCATTTATCAACTGAACTTGGCCTCACTGACTGTGGGTGTACCCGATACCAAAGTATTGGTTAAAGACATAAGAAACTGAAGAAATTCCTTTACCTAAGCCCAGGGCAGTTTTATACATGTCTTCTAATCTCAGAGTCAGGATGACTCTGGTCCCTTGGACCCCAAGGTGAGGTGAGAGTGTGATCTTTGTCATTGTGTGATGAATGTCCTGAGGTGCATTAGGGAGAGGGCTTCATGCAAGATCTCTCAGCAGGGCAGGGAGGAAAGCCCTCTTTCTATATTGCTTCTTGCTACATGGGGACTTTCTGTAATGGTGGAGTGTAGGAAAATGACAGGGACTTCTGCTATTCTGCCCCTTTTAATTGTAAAATTATAAATGAAGTCGTTTTCATGACAGCATTTCTACCCAATGAAAGGCTCTTTTAAGAATGAAACTTCAGGCTGGGCGCGGTGGCTCACGCCTGTAATCCCAACAATTTGGGAGGCCGAGGCGGGCGGATCACGAGGTCAGGAGATCAAGACCTTCCTGGCTAACACGGTGAAACCCCGTCTCTATTAAAAATACAAAAAATTAGCCAGGCACAGTGGCAGGCACCTGAAGTCCCAGCTACTTGGGAGGCTGACGCAGGAGAATGGCGTGAACCCGGGAGGCGGAGCTTCCAGTGAGCTGAGATCGCGCCACTGCACTCCAGCCTGGGCGACAGAGCGAGACTCCGTCTCAAAAAAAAAAAAAAAAAAAAAAAAGAATGAAACTTCAGAGACTACGGTGGGTGAGTAGCAGGAAACAGCTTTCCCTCAGCTCCCAATAAATTATACCAAGTAAGTGAGCAACTAATCCAACTACGTGTGAAGTCAACCCTTCCCTTAAGAGGTTTACAATCTCCTTGGGGTGACAAGATGTGCCTGAGAACAATTACGTCATGAATGTGGCTCTGGCTGACTGGTTGAGGAAGTGGGGACACTCACTCCCTTTCTTCTAACAGAAGACAGGAGGGCCGTGCCTCTTAATTGGATCAGGGGGCTTGGAGCTGCCACTTGGGCTCTCGAAATGTGACTGTGGGTGGCATGAAGGGATGGAACTTGGAGCTTGATTCACTTCGCTGCCGCTCTGGCCAGCACCGCTCACCGTCAGTTCCATCCGAGGCTGGCTGTCCAGGCTGTTCATGACGCAGGCCCTGTTGCACGGTTTCCTTATAGAGTCCAGAGTCAGCTCACTCCTCCATTACGTCGCACATCCACAAAGGAGGGGAAGGAGAGGCAGCGGCATCGCTGCCCGCCGCACGGACGGATCACCAGCAGCTCCGATGAAGGCGGAGGTTTTAAACTACAGTTGTGTCTAAGATGAAGTTTGGGGATTAGGTGTCTCTGCTTTCCATTACCCCAGACAGAAGTGTGCTGGCAGAATGTCTGCCCTCGGAGCCAGCTGGCTGGCCAAAGGTGAAAGGAGAGGAGGAGAAAAAGAGGCGTCTATCAATCCACTTTTTCCATCAGCACGGTCCTCTAAGGTAGACTGCTGGCCTCTCTGTCACGCCCCCGGAAACTGAAGCTCTGGGATGTGTCGGAGTTACCCAAGGACACAGAAAGCCTTGTCCCCAAGGGCCTGTCCTAGATTGTGAGACTGTTGGTATATCTGCTCTCAGCGCTAACAATAAAAAATAGAAAAGAAAAGCCCACAGTGTAAGTCTTAAATTTGAGGGAAATGCTGTATTGGCTTAGGACTGAGAAATAGATGTTTGACATCTAGATAGAAATATCCCAAATAAAAGTTGTCACCTTGATTTGTCATTTTAAAAAGTCTCATTTTTTTTGGGGGGGGCTGGGCGTGGTGGCTCACGCCTGTAATCCCAGCACTTTGGGAGGCTGAGGTGAGCGGATCACCTGAGGTCAGGAGTTCGAGACCTGCCCGGCCAACATAGTGAAACCCTGTCTCAACTAAAAATACAAAAATTAGCCGGGTGTCCTGGTGCATGCCTGTAATCCCAGCTACCCAGGAGGCTGAGGCAGGCAAGTCACTGGAACCCAGGAGGCAGAGGCTGCAGTGAGCCGAGATCTTGCCCCTGCACTCCAGCCCAGGTGACAGAGCGAGACTCCGTCTCAAAAAAAAAAAAAAGAAAAGAAAAGAAAAGAAAAGAAAAAGTCCCATTTTTGTCAATGGATGCCCATTAAAAGTCTTTGAATTGTGCTTTGCACGATGGAACTTAATGCCTGTTGAAGGTGTGACCAGTAAGAGTTCCAGCTTGATCCTAGAGTCTGAATGGCAAACATGAATTTTCGCTGAAGACAGACAGCTGTAATTTAGTAAGAAGGGATGCTCAAGTTGGGCTGAAGTTTGCAAATCAATACAATGTGTTGGCTTGCTGGGAACTTCCCTCATTTTGTTAAGGATTACATTTCTACATGGTTTGCAGACTAGATGTTAATCAGTGGCTGTTGGCCAGGGAGGCCAAAACCTACCAGCAAATAAATGCGTTTAAGATGTTAGGGAGTGACCAAAGAGGAATATGTATGCAGAGACCTGGAAAATATGAAACCAGTTAAGAACTCAAAGGTCATTTTGTTCAGGGCAAAATTCTTGTGCATGGTGCTGACAGTTTGCCCTCTGGGTGTTTTCAGAGCTTAAAGGATCAAACTTGTCCACATGAAATATGAAATGTCTAATACAGAAACCCCACGTACCCCGTCAGACCAACCTTTTTGCCCTGTAATTACCATGGCTCCAGCTTCACGTTGGATCCCACCCTATCTATTGCTCTTGCATAAGCGTGGCCTGGCTGAACATCTAGAGGACCCTTTAAAGAAGTCTTAGGTAATTAAACAAAACAGAATACTTAACAGTCTATGCAAAGGAGGGGGAGGATTATCCTTCTCCGTATCTGAGATGGGTTCCCAGTGATCCAGTGATAATGCAATTTTGCCACAATGCAGAAATCTCACCAAGGCTTCTGATGTCACTGTCAAAGTGGACTGCTGTGCTAAGAGGGGGATGAACTTGATCTTCCTCTTTCTTGCTTGCTTTTTTTTTTTTTCTGGAGACAGTCTGGAGTGCAGTGGTGTGATCACAGCTCACTGCAGCCTTGACCTTCCAGGCTCAAGCAATCGTCTCCCCTCAGCCTCCTGAGTAGCTGGAACCACAGATGCTCACACTACGCCTGGCTAATTTTTAAGTTCTTTTTATCGAGACAAGGTCTTGCTGTGTTGCCCAGGCTGGTCTCAAACTCCTGGGCTTAAGTGATCTTCCCTCCTCGGCCTCCCAAAGTGCTGGGATTACAGGCATGAGCCTCTGTGCCTGGCTGATCTTCCCTTTTTTACCAAATTGGTTATTTTCCTGCAGGTGGACAGGGTAGTGTAGGCACTTATGTTGTGGAATGGAGACTTTAAGAACCATGAGTTTTGGGCTGGGCGTGGTGGCTCACGCCTGTAATCCCAGCACTTTGGAAGACCGAGGTAGGCGGATCATAAGGTCAAGAGACAGAGACCATCCTGGTAAACATGGTGAAACCACGTCTCTACTAAAAATAGAAAAATTAGCCGGGCGTGGTGGTGCATGGCTGTAGTCCCAGCTACTCGGGAGGCTGAGGCAGAAGAATCGCTTGAACCCAGGAGGTGGAGGTTGCAGTGAGCCGAGATTGTGCCACTGCAATCCAACCTGGCAACAGAGTGAGACTCCGTCTCAAAAAAAAAAAAAAAAAAAAAAAAAAAAAAAAAGAAAAAGAAAAAGAAAAAAAAGAACCATGAGTTTTGCCAAGAGATGGATTGTGAAGAGGCGATAACTCAAGAAGATGAAGTTAGATTTACTTCCATCTTCCAGTTTCTGGCCCCCACATAGTGACAAATTTTGGTATTTGTCACAATGGTATTGGGCCCCTGTTACAGTTTCCTCATTCGGCTGCAGAACCCTGATGCAAATAGGAGCCCGTACCCTGGGCCCTCGTCAACTGATCCTTACCCCTCAGAATAAACCTGAGCTGTTCCAAGTCCTGCTCCACGCTAAGTCTGAGCTGATACATTCTTTTGAGCTAAGGTATTGATGACTCTTAATGGCTTAATGTTATCCTTCTTTGTTGAGCTTTGCATGTAAAAGAAGCCTTTAATGCCTTCAAACTTATAGCAAGCAAGTGAATCCTGTGGGAATTCTGGGCACCAGGGGAGATACAATAGTATTGGGCAGAGATGTCTTTCAACACCTAGCAGAGTGTAATTTGTCGAATAATAATTGTCAGCTGATGTGCAGGGTGACCAGCAAGTCTGGAAACACAGAAGTGATTTTATCACATAAGGAAATTAATATCAGTACAGCATTTCTGCATCCCCTGATGTTTCTAGATGTAGTGGCCACCCTGAATTCTGAGCGTTTACCATGTGCTATCATAAGTGCTCTCACTTAATCTTCCCAACAATCCTACGATGTAAGTATTATTATTTATCATCCCTGTTTTACATATGAGGACAAAGAGGCTTAGGGAAGCTAAGTTGAGTAATTAACTCATCGCTGGACTGCAGCTTTGACCGAAGAGCTGTGTTGCTACCTTTACTTTCTTTCTTTCTTTTTTTTTGAGATGGAGTCTCCCTGTGTCGCCCAGGCCGGAGTGCAGTGGTGCGATCTCAGCTCACTGCAACCTCCAACTCCTGAGTTCAAGTGATTCTCCTGCCTCAGCCTCCCGAGTAGTTGGGATTACAGGTGCCTGCTACCACGCCCAGCTATTTTTTTTGTATTTTTAGTAGAGACGGCGTTTTGCTATGTTGGCCAGACTGGTCTCGAACTCCTGGCCTCAAGTGATCTGCCCGCCTCAGCCTCCCAAAGTGGTAGGATTACAGCCATTGCACCCAACCACTACCTTTACTTTCTACTGAGGGAGGCCATCCCTCCTCAACCTCAAATAGAAACTGAAAAAGGAGCCTGAGGCCCTGTGTCCCCAGGCTTCTGGATTTCCATAGAGTATTTTCCATTGGTCCTTTCTGCTGAGTGGTTGCCTTGCAGTTTCTCCCTTGTAAGGCAGCATGACCATTAAACCCTTCATCCCAAGAGGTTATTTGCCCAACATTGCAAGCAAATCAGCACTGGGTGAAAACTCACAGCCACAGGTGCTCAGGCCTGGGCGTCCTCCTGAGTACCTGGGACTGCAGGCATGCACCACTATGCCCGGCTGACTTTTTGTAGAGACAAGGTCTCGATATGTTGCCCAGGCTGGTCTCTAAGTCCTGGGCTTAAGTGATCTTCCTGCCTTGGCTTCCAAAAGTGCTGGGATTACAGGTGTGAGCCACCGCACCCGCTTGATCTTCCCTCTTTACAAAATTGGTTATTTTCCTATAGGCACTTACGTGTGGGATGATGACTTTAAGAACCATGAGTTTTACCAAGAGATGGATTGTGAAGAGGCAATAACTTGGGGAATGTTCTTGGCAGAAGTAGGTTAAGTTTAGATTTGATCTCTTGTTGGTCATTAATAGGCTTGAGGAGCCTAGCATCATCTCCAATTTGGAAGCTCTGGTTTAAAAAAATCCCCTCCCCGCTGGGCGCAGTGGCTCATGCCTGTAATTCCAGCACTTTGGGAGGCCGAGGCTGGCGGAGCATGAGGTCAAGAGATGGAGACCATCCTGGCCAACATGGTGAAACCCTGTCTCTACTAAAAATACACAAATTAACTGGGCGTGGTGGCATGCACCTGTAGTCCCAGCTCCTTGGGAGGCTGAGGCAGGAGAATCACTTAAACCTGGGAGGTGGAGGTTGCAGTGAGTGGAGATCATGTCACTGCATTCCAGCCTGGCAACAGAGTGAGACACCGTCTAAAAAAAAAAAAAATACCCCTCCCATAGCCAGGTGCAGTGGCTCATGCCTGTAATCCCAGCACTTTGAGATTACCGGCTGAGGCCAGAGGATCACTTGAGCCCAAGAGTTCAAGACCAGCCTGGGCAACATAGAGAGACACCATCTCTACCAAAAAATTAAAAAATTACATGACAATGGTGGTGCATGCCTGGAGTCCCAGCTACTTGGGAGGCTGAGGCAGGAGAATCACTTGAGCCCAGGAGTCTGAGGCTGCAGTGAGCCGTGATGGTGCCACTGTACTCCAGCCTTGGAGACAGAGCAACACTCTGTCTCTTAAAAAAAAATTAAAATAAATTAAAAAAAGAAAATCCCCTTCTAACGCTGAAGGAGGATGTGGTTTCCTATTGGACAGACTGCAGGGAGTGGCCATTTCCTTTCAGACTGCCTGCCTGCCCACACACTTAAGCACATAACGGATTTCAGGCCCCACGTGGAGGCTTGCTACCCTGAATTAGGTCTAGGCTGGTAAAACTCAAACCAAACTAATCACAAAACACTTCGTCCCATAAAAGAACCCTCTTTTTATGACGGAGAAATTAACCAGTGTTGAGCAGTGGAGGGTAGGGAAACTGCCATAAGATATAATTATAACCATAATAATATTAATAGAGGTACACTCTGCATGCCTCTTGCCTTTCGTTCCAGATCTGAGAGTGGCTGACTGGTTAATTAATGTTAGCGAGCATGATTGGCCCTGTTGGAACTGTACATGGATCTAGAAAAAGAAGCAGCAATGTTTTGTTTGTCTGTTTTTCACTGCGAACCCCATCCTACTTTCTCTGTCTTGGGGAGTGGAAGTGGTGGGCTTAGCCTTGCTCACTCCCCCTTTTGGAGGTTGAACAGAATTAATATGCAGACAGAAGTTTTTTTGAAAATTTAAATTTAAATTTAAATTTTTGGCCATGCGCAGTGGCTCATGCCGGTAATCCCAGCACTTTGGGAAGCCGAGGCAGGCGGATCATTTGAGGTCAGGAGTTTGAGACCAGCCTGGTGAATGTGGTGAAGCCTCATCTCTGCTAAAAATAGAAAAATTATTTCTATTCTATAGCGTGTTGGTGGGCACCTGTAATTGCAACTACTCGGGAGGCTGAGGCAGGAGAATCGCTTGAACCTGGGAGGCGGAGGTTGCAGTGAACCGTGGTTGTGCCAGTGCACTCCAGCCTGGCTGACAGAGTGAGAGACTCCATTTCAAAATAAATACATAAATAAAATTTTTTTTACAGGAGAGAACTTGCTCTGGCACCCAGGCGAGAGTGTAGTGGACTGATCCTAGCTCACTGCAGCCTCGAACTTCTGGTCTCAAGAGATCTCCCTGCCTCAGCCTCCTGAGAAGCTGGGACGACAGACACATGCCACCATGCTAAGCTTGTTTTTAATTTTTTTTTTTTTTAGAGATGGGGTCTTGCTGTGATGTTCAGGCTGATCTTGAACTCCTGGCTCAAGTGATCTTCCCACCTCAGCCTTCCAAAATGCTGGGATTACAGGCATGAGCCACTGTGCCCGGCCCCCCATTATATTTCTTAGGGGTTGTGAAGGAGACTTATGAACTCTCTGTGACATCCAAGGTTAGGCGAGGTATTAGGAGTCACTGTCCTGAATTACTCTTGCACCTAGCACACACTGTGAAACCAAACATTCCCGTGTGGCATAAAATAGGTGGCCCCACTCTGTCATTACTATACGTGACATCCTTCAAGGGATGGCAGAACAAACTGAAGCATTTATAGCAAAGCAAAACTAAATGAAGATAAAAACAACTTGCCTTCTGAGAGGTGGCTATTGGACTTCATTAAGCCATTTACTGGACAATGAAAGAATCAGTCATACAAAGGCAATAAACAGGAATGTGAATGCTGCTACCCACCAGGAATTGGCCAATAAAGTCAAATTTCTAATTTAATTTAATTTAATTTAATGTTCCAGGATACATGTGCAGGATGTGCAGGTTTGCTACATAGGTAAACGTGTGCCATGGTGGTTTGCTGCACCTATCAAACCATCACCTAGGTATTAAGCCCTGCATGCATTAGCTATTTTTCCTAATGCTCTCCCTCCCTCAACCCCCTGACAGACCCCAGTGTGTGTCGTTCCCCTCCCTGTGACCATGTGTTCTCATTGTTCAGCTCCCACTTATGAGATCAATAAAGTCAAATTTCTAAGTGTCTGAAATTCCTTTTTAAAAATATAAAAAAATCCCTAGAGTTGGAAGGATGAGTAGGGCAATGCTAGGTACAAGTCATTTTTTTTTTTAATGGCACCTGTCAATGCTATAAAAAGGCAAGAAGGAAAATCATCCTTACGAAGAGAAATGGATGCCCGCCAAGGGCTGGGATTTGATCCTTCAAGTTCTCTTTTCTTCCTCTTGGAATCACTGGGTTTATGAAAGAAAGTGATGAAAATATGCAGAACGTGAGAGATTCACCGTCTTTGTCCTAAGTTTCACTTGTTACACAATACCAGACCAGGGGCTGACTTCCTTCACGCTACAGTTTTCTCCTTTCAAGAAGGTGGAATACGATGGTAATTATAGCTTGTGGGATCTTTGGCGGAGGGAGTATTGATAAGAATATGTTGTCCATGGCGGCCTATTTTGTGACCACCCCCCACAAGAGTTGTTATTCCAGCCTAGGGTGAGGTCAAATTGTTGGACAGTATTTGAAAAATGTCACAATGCAACGTGCTATTCGACTCAACGTCTAAATGTACTCTTGGCATCCAGAGTGGAATATCAGTGGTGTGGACATCAGCCCCATATGAACTCAGGGGATCCTCAGAAAAGGAAAATGTTGGGCCAGGAGTGGTGGTTCATGCCTATAATCCTAGTACTTTGGGAAGGTGAGAGGGGAGGGTTGCTTGAGGCCACGAGTTGGAGAACAGCCTGGGAAACATATAGTGAGACCGTGTCTCTACAGAAAAATTAAAAAAATAGTCAGGCATGGTGGTGTCTGTAGTCCCAGCTACTTGGGAGGTGGAGGTGAGAGGATCGCTTGAATCCAGGAAATCAAGGCTGTAGTGAGTTATGACTATACCAGTGAACTCCAGTCTGGGTGACAGAGCGAGATCCTTCCTTTTAAAAAAAAGAAAAAGAAAAGAAAGTTTATAGCTTAATGTGATCAAGGCGTTGGCCCCCAATAATAGGATCAGGTTAGTCACATGTCGGATGGCTACAAAAGTGAGTATTTACGTCTGGAGAATGTGTACCTGTGTCTTTCTCAATGGATGTGCAAGTGCTTACATGTTTGTGTGTTCACCTTGACATTCCAAATCCAAATTTAAATTAGTTTAGTGCCTGTATTTTTTTCCTTTTTCCATCAGAGCAGATATCTGAAGCTCAATATTGGGTGGGGAAGAGAATATGTGTTTGAGACGGAGTCTTGCTCTGTCACCCAGGCTGGAGTGCAATGGCGCAATCTCAGCTCACTGCAACCTCTGCCTCCCAGGTTCAAGCGATTCTCCTGCCTCAGTCTCCCGAGTAGCTGGGATTACAGGTGCCCACCACCACACCTGGCTAATTTTTGTATTTTTAGTAGAGATGGGGTTTCACCATGTTTGCCAGGCTGGTCTCAAGCTCCTGACCTCGTGATCCGCCCACCTTGGCCTCCCAAAGTGCTGTGACTACAGGCTAGAGCCACCACCCCTGGCCGAGAATAGTTTTTAGGATTTCCCTTTCTTTAAGTAGGAAAAAGGCAGTGAGATCCACTCTGATTCGCTGATGTTTGGATTGGAGGCCAGCTTTGACAAGGTCCCCAAAAGTTCAGGGCCCTGTTCTCCCTTGGTGAGGCAGGTATAGGGGAGTGTGCTGTCTGTTGTGTAGACAGGTTTCTGTTCTGTTTGCTGCTGGCCTCATGCTTTCCATGGAGCTCAGAGAGACTGGGAAGAGCCCTTAGCTCCTTGTTTCAGGGCCAATCAAGCCCTGACCTCTTACCTAGACCAGTCTCCCAAAGCATTCAGGCCAGGGCTGCAGTCAGCCGTCACTCAGATCTCTTGACTCTCTTAAAATATGAAGGTTTTAGAGTCCTGGGCAGGCAGAGGAGGGAAATACTTTCTCTTCTGCACTATCTAGAGATGTGTTTCCATGTGAGTAAGGCAGACTTGTGTGTATGTACAGCAGTGCATGTATGACAGCAGTGCATGTACAAAAATTCAATTACACCCTAAAAAGGAAAAAAAATTCAATAAAAATATAGTGTCCACTGTGCCCAGACATTGTGCTGTACCTTTGGGGGTGAACCTGTGGTATGAAAGATGCATAAAACTTCAATATTGAAGTAGAAATGATTCAGACACATTAAGACAAACAGGTCTGATTGCTTCTCCTGCCTGTTATCTTACTGACTCGTGGCTAGTGCTGATTAACAGCAGTGGCAGATTCTATATGAGTGGCTCTTCATGAAGAGAATTAATGGCTGCATAAACTCAGATATTCTTAAAATTAGGCACCAAGGCTAATTGCCATTTAACTCCCCAAGCTTCCAGAGCTGAAGTGGAGCAAAGGGCCGTGGAGGTCTGGTTGGGAGTGGGGCAGGGGTGGAGGATCACTGAGTCACATGCTTTTAGACTGTAGAAAATATATTTTCTTACCAGTAAAATGGGAGCTGCAATGAGGATTAAATGAGATAACATAGGTACAACATTTAACCTAGTGCATGGCATAGAGTAAATGTTCCATAGATAGTGACTATTATTATTAGAATAGGCCCTGCTGGGTGCAGTGGCTCATGCCTGTAACGCCAGCACTTTGGGAGGCCAAGGTGGGTGGATTGCTTGAGCCCAGGAGTTTGAGACCAGCCTGGGCAATACAGCGAGACCCTGTCTCTCTCTATTAAAAAAAAAATGCCTGACTATCAATATATTTAATACCTTTGAAAATCAGGCCATGCACGGTGGCTCACACTTGTAGTCCCAGCACTTTAGGAGGCCGAGGCAGGAAGATCACTTGAGGTCAGGAGTTTGAGTCCAGCCTGGCCAACATGGAGAAACCCCCGTCTCTACTAAAAATACAAAAAAAAAAAAAAAAAAGAAAAAGTCGGGCGCGGTGGCTCACACCTATAATCCCAGCACTTTGGGAGGCTGAGGCAGGTGGATCACCTGAGGTCTGGAGCTCACAACCAGCCTGGGCAACATGGTGAAACCCCGTCTCTACTAAAAATACAAAAATTAACTACTGGGAGGTTAAGGCAGGAGAATTGCTTGAGCCTGGGACTCTGTCTCAAAATAATCATCATCATAATAATTTAGCTGGGCATGGTGGCATGCACCTGTAATCCCGGCTACTCAACAGGCTGAGGCAGGAGAATCGCTTGAACCTGGGAGGCGGCGGTTGCAGTGAGCCGAGATTGTGCTATTGCACTCCAGCCTGGGCGACAGAGCGAGACTCCGTCTCAAGAAAAAAAACTCAGAAACAAAACAAAACAAAGAATTGGGCCTTTTTTTTGTATTCAATATGGAGACATTAAAGACATTTTAGCAGAGGAGTGATCTAATCACAGCTCCACATTTGACAATGGATATGGGATGGATTAGCGGGCAGAAAGATGGGAAAAGGAGAAACTAGCCCTAGGCCATTGCAGGAGCCCAGGTAAAAGGGGGCATCTAAGAGGGCAACTTGGAGAGATGGGGATGGATGCGAGAGAACTTGCAAAGGAGAATCAGGGGAACCTGGAAATTGACTAGATGAGGTGGACTGAGGTAGAATGAGTCTATGCCAGGTGACGGGGAAGCGACTCCTTTATGCTGCTTTCTCAAACACCCCTGGAGCCTCTTTGAAGGGTATATCAAGTCCCGAGGAGCCAGTGTTTGAGAAGAGATGATAAACTGAGCTTCAGACATCTTGAGTTGCTGATGGGGTATCTTGATCAAGTGGTTCAACAGGCAGAGAGTGGAGTTAGGAAGAGATATGCATGGGGGCGGTCTGCCCAGAATCCCCCTTGCAGTCATGGGAAGGCTGTGAGGTCACAAAGAGAGACCTTGACAGTGGAGAGCATGGATTTATCAATGGGGAATCCCATTGATTTGACAATCACCCTGCATAAGAGGTGGAAGGCAGAGAGCGCTGGAGCTGGACAGGGAGATGAGAAGGCAGTCTGAGAGGTGAGAGCAGCCTCCGGGAAGACCTGTTTCCTGGAAGCCAAGCCAGGAGGCAGCTCAAGGAGGAAAGTGAAATGTTGCAGAAATCAGGGTTAAAGAGATCACTAGCTTTTAGAAGGAGGTGGATATTTTGACTTGGGAAAAGAATTTCAGTGAGATGGTAGTAGTAGGCATCAGACAGTTAGGGGCAAAACACATGTTGGAAGACAGGAAGAAGTCCTGGAGATTTATCCTGGAAATCTTTGTCAGAGAAGAGACTGGGGTATTAAACTGATGGATGAGGCCAGGCACGGTGGCTCATGCCTGTAATCCCAGCACTTTGAGAGGCTGAGGTGGGTGGATCACTTGAGGTCAGGAGTTCAAGACCAGCCTGGCCAACATGGCAAAACCCTGTCTCTACTAAAAATACAAAAATTAGCCAGGTATGGTGGCCCATGCCTGTAGTCCCAGCTACTCGGGAGTCTGAGGCATGAGAATTGCTTGAACCTGGGAGAGGGAGGTTGCAGCGAGTTGCGATTATACCACTGCACTCCAGCCTGGGTGACAGAGCGAGACTCTGTCTACATAAAGTAATAAACTAATAAATTGAGTGGGTGAAAGTGTTGCTCTCAAGTTTTTTAGATTAGAAGTGATGCAATCAAGTTATCAAGCAGAAGAGAAGGAGTGACTGGAGTGAAGACAAGGATAAAAGGTGCCAAACAGGACCAGGCATGGTGGCTTACGCCTGTAATCCCAACACTTGCGGAGGCCAAGGTGGGAGGATCGCTTGAGGCCAGGAGTTTGAGAACAGACTGGGCAGCAGAGTGAGGCCCTTGTCTCTATTAAAAAAAAATAAATAAATAAAAGTGCAAGACTGGTGGAGCCGAATGGCGAAAAATCCTCCAGGAGATGGGAGAGAAAAGGATCAGGAACAAAGGCCCTCTCCCAAGAGAGAGAAAAAGAGAAGGAAAAAAATTCAGAAGTTGGGGTAAGGAGTGGGGTAAACAAGGCAGTGTCTGCACATGGCTGTGGTGTCTCTGGGTGTTTGATGTTAATGATGAACAGGGAAGTTGAGGACGGTCATGGCGGGAAGAGGCCAGGCCATCTACGGGGAGAACAGCAGGGCTGGGCAGGTTGGAGAGTCCAGGGAATTCCCCAGGGAACACAGCAGGGAATCCGCCGGAGATGACTGAAGGATGGTGGAGCCCTTGGGTGGACTTGGGTGAAGTTAGGGGCTTTCTGCAGGTGTACTCTGAAATTTGGGTACCAGGGCACAGAAACTGGATGGAGACTGTGGACAGGCCTGGCATGCTGGGTGGGCTGTCTTGGGGCTGGGGGATTCCTACCTTCAAGAGCAGCAAATGAACGAAACTAGCGGGACAGGCCGGGAGTTCAGAAGAAATAAAAGTGCTTTCCATTTCTTCACTTGAAGTAGGAGCGCGGGCAGCGGAAGCGTTGGGGGGACATCCATGTCCTGGCTGCCTCTCCTGCCCCGAAACCCCCCTTGGGTTCTCCTGCCAGATTCTCATTGCATGACTTTTTTCTCTCGGTGAAAGATGAGAGAGTGACTCTCCCGAGAGACAGGAAAATCTGTCCCATTGTTTGTGCGCCCCTCTGCTCCTCTGCGAGGGATATCTGGCTTCTTTACGGCTCCTCTAAATAGACCATGTTTAATCATCACTGTCAGGCGGTGAGGAGCAGCCGTCGGTGGCCTGGTGGCAGTTTATAGGCCCAGGGCCATATGTCCCAGAGTGACATGCAGGGTTGCAATTCTGCAATGACAAAGAACAGCTGCGGTGACCACAGCGTGAACCACGACTGATGACAATCTGCAGGGATTTTTGCATCAAACCGGCAGTGTGGCTCGCATAATGGGTGAGTGTATTTGGGTTCAGATTTAAAGCTGTGTACAGCGTCGAGGGGTCATGTGAGTTATCCTGAGCAGGTCCACCTGAAGCTTTGGTGGATCCTATAATATTAAAAAAAAAAAAAAAAAAAGCCTGGGTGCGGTGGCTCACGCCTGTAACCCCAGCACTTTGAGAGGCCAAAGCACGTGGATCACCTGAGGTCAGGAGTTCGAGACCAGCCAGGCCAACATGGAGAAACCCTGTCTCTACTAAAAATACAAAAATTGGCCAGGTGAGGTGGCACAAGCCTGTAATCCCACCTACTAGGGGGAGCTGAGGCAGGAGGATTGCTTGAACCTGGAAGGTGAAGGTTGCAGTGAGCCAAGATGGTGCCACTGCACTCCAGTCTGGGCAACAGAGCAAGACTCTGTTCCTGCCCCACCCCTGCCCCCCAAAAAAGGACAGCCTGGCCAATGTAATAAAACCCCTTCTCTACTAAAAATATAAAAATTAGCTGAGTGTGGTGGTGCATGCCTGTAGTGCCAGCTATTTGGGAGGCTAAGGCAGGAGAATCACTTGAACCCAGGAAGTGGAGGCTGCAGTGAGCCAAGCCGCCACTGCACTCCAGCCTGGGCAAGAAAGTGAGACTCTGTCTAAAAAAAAAAATAAATAAAAAGGAGCCGGTGAATGTGGACCAAGAGCATTGTGGTCAAACCTGGGTTGAAGTCCACAAGGTGACCTCTGGGCCTCAGACTCATGGTCTGTAAGATGGGCATGCTAATATGTGCCTTGTAGCATCATTGGGGAGATATATGTGATAGGCCACAAACGGGTGATTATTCTACACACCTCACAGAAGTGATCACGGCATGTAGTCATTGTTGGTTTTTAACATTTCTCTCCCCCACTAGATGATGTCATCCTTGAAGGCAGAAACCATGTGTCCCCAGAAGTATGTTGGCTCTCAATAAGTAGCTGTTGAATAAATGAGTTGCTGGATATTCACAACTCACATTTGCTAAGCGTGGATGTGCCAGGTTCCGTGTGTGTGTTTATGTCATTGAATCTTCGTAACAACTTAATGAGGGATGGGGATAACAACTTATTTACAGATAAATAACAACTTATTTACAGATGGGGATACAGAGGCTTAAAGAAGTTCAATAACCTGCCTCAGTTTGCCCAGCTAGTTAGTGGTTGAGCGACCTCTTATCCACTCTTAGAGGGACTGGGAAAGCCTCCAGCTGAGGATTTGAATCT
Organism: Homo sapiens; assembly: GCF_000001405.40. Lineage (NCBI taxonomy): Eukaryota > Metazoa > Chordata > Mammalia > Primates > Hominidae > Homo > Homo sapiens. The sequence goes on from NC_000010.11 coordinate 8,097,497, forward strand.
CAGGGGTGTTCACAGCCACTGTGAACCAAGATAGGGAAGATGTGTGGTGGCGAGCTTTCTTCTAACTCTCTTCAAGTAGCTTCTCCTACTACAGCTGTGCAAAGAGCTAAGGCCACCTGGCCCGTCTTGCAGGCCCGTATTAGGTAAAAAATATTCAGAAGCTGTTTACACACATGAAGATGCATTAGCGACCATGTACAACAGACGGCGACCCCACCAGGGAAGTGTTGACTCGTGGTGGGGCTGGGTGGGTCGCAAGACCTGGAGTGCCTACAATGAGTTTTCTGCACCGAGCCTGCTGCTCTCTTGATTAATGGGACAGTGGAAAATTCCTCCCTTGGTTTATTTTTTTCCCTGAACCGAGAGCTCCATGTAGGAGCTGTGAGTGCCTCAGGGTGATACTTTCCCATTTGTCAGTACCTGGCGTACTCCACCCTCACCTGGACAGATGTCTCACGTTGCAGGAGGGCAAGGTGGGGATCAAGCCAGGCGACAACTCACCAGGCTTGGGCCCCATTGCTCTGCGGGGGGCAGGGGCCCTGAGAATGTGGGGTTGTTATTTTCCAGGTCCCTCTGCTTTAGTCATCTTGCTGCACGGAATGCAAAGCCTCCTGTGGCAGGAACCGAAGCTTAGCACCCTGGGGTTCCCTGATGCTGAAGCAGAAGGTCCTGCCTCTGAACAGAGCCTCGTTGACACCATTCGAGAAAGAAAGAACATTTTCTGCCTTTAAAGAGCTCTCGAAGTCTGTCCCCAGGTTAACAGTGGTTACCTCCATGCTGACTTCTACTTCTTCACAGTTTCCTTTCAGATGTTCTACAATGAGCATATATTGCTTTAGTAATCAGAGAAAGAAAACTCTAGCATGACATTAGCCTTCTGTGTGCTCACCAGATCCCTCTCTTTGGGGAAAACGAAGAAAATGGCTTCCTTTCTCCTCTGTGTGCACCATATCTCACTTCACACCCAGCGCAATTCCTGGTTCTGTAATTTTTCCTTACAGCTCCCACTTAAAACCAACCAACCAACCAACCAACCAACCAACCATGCCAGCAAACAAATCTGATAATCGATCTAAAGTATTTATTGGACTCCTATGATGGGCTTAATCTCTCAAACTCCTGGATTTTTTTTTCCTTTTCTAGACAGGATCTTGCTCTGTTGCCCAGGCTGGAGGGCAGTGGTGCGATCTCAGCTCACTGCAACCTCCGCCTGCCGGGTTCTAGTGATTCTCCTGCCTCGGCCTCCCAAGTAGCTGGGATTACAAGCGCATGCCAGCACACCTGGCTCATTTTTGTATTTTTAGTAGAGACGGGTTTTGTTATGTTGGCCAGGCTGGTCTTGAACTCCTGACCTCAGGTGATCTGCCTACTTCGGCCTCCCAAAGTGCTGGGATTAGAGGCATGAGCCACCATGCCCGGCCTGGATTTTTATTTATTTATTTATTTATGTTTTTTTTTTATGTATGTATGTATTTATTTAGCTTTTTCTTTGTTTTTGAGGCAGTCTCTCTCTCACTCAGGCTGGATTTCAGTGGTGCAATCATGGCTCACTAGAGCCTCAACCTCCCAGGCTCAAGTGATCATCCCACCTTAGCCTCCTGAGTAGTTGAGACTATAGGTGTCTGCCACCATGCCCAGCTAATTAAAATAAATTTTTTTTAGAGACTGGGTCTTCCTGTGTTGCTCAAGCTGGTCTTGAACTCCTGGCCTTAAGTGATCCTCCTGCCTTGGCCTCCCAAAGTGCTGGGATTACAGGTGTGAAACCACCACACCAGGCCCATGGGCTTAATCTCTTAAACAGTTTTTTGACTTCCTTTTAATCTTTTCTGCATATATGTAGAATCTTGCTTCTCCCGTCCTTGCTTTGGAATAATGCTGCTGAGAATTTGGGAATATTTTCCCAATAAAATAAATGATGCCATTTATTTTTCACCAAATGATAGGCTTTCTTGTCTACCACGTTAATAATTATTTTCTTCTTCTAGTGTGGTGACTCAGACGCTAAAATAAAAAAATTAAAAAAATTGTTATTTTCCTCCCATGAAATTCCTCCAAAATCTTAATTTTGGGCATTATGGTTGGGACTTTGCTCTGATAAAGAGACACCTAGAAGACGGGAGAAGTTAGGAAAGAGGTGGATCTATCTGATTTCTCTCCTGGACCTGCTCTTATTCAAATGTTTTCTTCCCACGCTGCTCCCAAAGTGAGGTCCTTTATGGAATCTGAGCTGTGCTTAGAATAATATGGAGATTAGCTTTCAGTACAGATACGCACTTCACTTTAAGTAAAACTTATTTATAAACATCAGGAGGAATGATTTGCTTTGCAAAAAGATGCTTTGCTAATAATAAGAATTCACCTTAGGATACTTTATATAGTCAACTTCCCAGTGCATAGAAATGCTATGCAGCACACCAACATGGCACATGTATACACATGTAATAAACCTGCACGTTGTGCACATGTACCCTAAAACTTAAAGTACGATAAAAAAAGTATAAAAAAAAGAAATGCTATCATTACAAAAATTCAATATGAATTCAGTAGCATAGAATTTTCAGGAAGTAAGGCATACCTGCACGTGCCTGTATTATCAGGAACCCCAATGCCATGTTTTCTCTGGAGACTGTAGGACTATCTTGTCACCCCAACGGTGATGTCACTGACAGTATTATGGAACTCAAATTGTGGTTGTGAGTGAGGTTAAGCTAATCAGCACTGAGCTCACAGCATTATTCTGTGTAAACCATTACAGAGGGGCTGTCTGATTCTGGTAATGCTAATTTCATCTTCTTATGAATGGGAAGTCAAGAGACTGGGACTCAATGTTGGTTCAGTCAATTCCTAGTGGCTGTTCTTGGGCTAATCCCATAGCCCTTGGATGCCCTTTGTTCATCTGTTTAATCAGAAGTTTGTCCTAGAGAGTCTGTGCAGGTCATTCTCGACCTAATTTCCTCATTCTTTGATCACATTCAGCTATGTGGATAGGAGGCTGGGACTCTCTTGGGAGTTGCACAGGAGATTTTGGAATTTTACTTCATCTGATTACAGTTCTACGGGTTTTAAGGAATTTCACAGAACACATAGAGGTAAGAAACAGCATTTCTAAAAGGCAGTGTTGTTTCATGGTTACATACTTCCAGGAAGGATACGAAAAACCCAGACTGGATTGACCCAAGATAAGGGATCATACATTACTGACATTCCCACTCCTCTTGCAGGACCTAGAGGGAAACTGAAGTTCTTCCGCCCAAACACTGGACTGTGAAAACTCTAGGTCACATGTAGGCTCCTGGAGATGAGGAGGCTTCTTTGCTGTGGCTGTTATCATCTTTAAGGTGCAACACTTCCCTTTTCAGCACCTCAGTTTCCCTGTCTGTAAGATGGTTCACTTGTCAATTCTTAGTTTTTGACTCATGGAACACTTGTGCAAGGTAGAAGATGATTATTTTTTATTTTTATTTTTTGAGACAGAGTCTCGCCCCATCATCTAGGCTGGAGTGCAATGGTGCAATCTTGGCTCACTGCAACCTCTACCTCCCGGGTTCAAATGATCCTCCTGTCTCAGCCTCCCAAGTAGCTGGGATTACAGGTGCCCGGCATGGTGCCCAACACAATGCCCAGCTAATTTTTGTATTTTTAGTAGAGATAGAGTTTCACCATGTTGGTCAAGCTGGTCTCAAACTCCTGACCTCATGATCTGCCCCCTTCAGCCTCCCAAAATGCTGAAACTAACAGGTGTGAGCCACCGCGCCTGGCCAGAAGATCATTATTAACTGCACTGGGCTGAGGGAGATGCACTAGATAAAAAGAAAGACCAAGGAAGCTCCACTTTCATAATGAAGCAATTCTGTCTCACAGACAGATCTTGGGAGAAGGGATGAAGTCAGAGGCTTAATCATGAGTGATTGTCTTTAATACTGAACCCCAAATCCCTGGTCAACAGCTTCTGGGAAAATGCCCCCTTTACCCAAGTGTCTGGTGACTGGATTTTTAGCCGAAGACTCCTGAAATTTCAGCTCAAGCTCAGCCTAGCTAACCAAGGTGTGAGCTCGTTCACATCCAGAATAGAACAGACACAGGCCATGCCTGGATATCCCCAGGGGCCCGAGGAACAAAGGACATCATCATTGTAGTAAAAAAGTCACCAATCCTTGGATTAGAACAACAAATTATCCTGGTTTTTTAAAAATTACAATTATTTTGAATGCCAGGACCCTTTTTTTTGGTGGGGTGGGGGTGGTGCTTTTTCTAGGCTGGGTCATTTTTGTTATCACTGTCAACTCCTTCTTACCTTCTTGTTCCTCTTTTTTTAACCAAATGTCACTGCCATCCTAGCAGATTTTCCTTGGAGCATTTTCTCCCCACCGACTGCCTTCTCCTCTCCAGGGTTCCTTCTGTAAGGTGCATTTGGGAGGCTGGGCTCTCGGGGGCTCTCTGTGTCCCTGGAACTCTACTTCCCTGGGTAGCTCCCTCCCAGTGAGGCAAGACACTTCTCCGTAAGGCAACCTGCTCTGTCACGGAGCCATGGCCCTTCACTGGGGGCTGGGTGGGCTGTGCTGTGGTGGGCTAACCTGTCTACCTGGGCTTCCTCTTGGTAGCCCCCCAAGTGCACACAGAAATGAGGTAGGGATGGAGGCACACATGCGGGAGCCATTTCCTGGAAGGGCCCCATGTTTCACTCATTCATTCTTTTGCCATCACCCTCCAGACATGGATGAGCTGGACCTGAAGTTCTTTGTTTCTATTTTTTTTTTTTTTGAGACGGAGTCTTGCTCTGTCGCCCAGGCTGGAGTGCAATGGTGTGATCTTCGCTCACTGCAACCTCTGCCTCCCAGTTTCAAGCGATTCTCCTGCCTCAGCCTCCTGAGTACTTGGAATTACAGGTGCGCGCCACCATGCCCGGCTAATTTTTGTATTTTTAGTAGAGATGGGGTTTCATCATGTTGGTCAGGCTGGTCTCAAACCCCTGACCTCATGATCTGCCGGCCTCGGTCTCCCAAAGTGCTGGGATTACAGGCCTCAAGTTCTGTCTTAGTGGAGAATTGAATTGAAAAAATCTGGTCAGACATGGTGGCTCACACCTGTAATCCCAGCTCTTTGGGAGGCTGAGGTGGGAGGGTCACTTGACCCAAGGAGTTCAAGATCAGCTTGGGCAACATGATGAGACCCCCCCACCCCAATCTTTACAAAAAAAAAAAAAATTAGCCAGGCATGGTGGTGCATGCATGTGGTCCCAGCTACTTGGGATGGGAGGGTTGCTTGATCTGGGAAGGTTGAGGCTGCAGTGAGCTAGCATTGCATCACTGCACTCCAGACTGGGTGACAGAGCAAGACCCTTTCTTTCTAAAAAAAGATTGGATTGTTATCATCTACCCTCAACCTACACAACCTTGAGGAGGAATTCTCTCTCCTCTTTTCTTCTCAATGTGGGAATCAGATATGGGAGAGGAGAGCCTGAGTGACAGGCTGATGGAGTCTAGAAAGGAGAACTCATGGGGTCCCCAATGGCTACGGGGATTTTCTACTTTGTAAGGGGAGTTCCAGAGCTCCTCAGAGGTGGTGAGGGTGAGCGCTGCTCGCTGGAAGGGCTGGTGCAAAAGCAGCGTGGGAGGGTGTGGTGTGGCCCAGGGACTCCAGCCTTCTGCTCTGAGAAAGGAGTTGAGGTACCTCCCTAAGCCACCAGCCCCAGGGAGGCAGAGGGAGTGGCTGGGACACCTCCCTAGCCGCCCACTCCCACTGGGAGGAAAAAGGGAGTGGCAGGAGGCACCTGCATGCGCCTCTTGCCGCAGGAGAGAAGCCAGAGACACCTGCTAGGGCTGCTGCCTCCCTCCCGGGAAGAGGGCGGAGCTGCTATCTCGAGCTGCTGCATGCCCGCCTGGGGGGCCCGAGGCTGGAGGCGGGGGGGGGGGGGTTGGCGGGAGCTGAGAACAGGCAGATGTTTGCCAAGGTTTCAAGAAGTTGGGAGCAGATCTCAGGGTGGCAGATGCTTCCTTGGAGAAACTTGGCCTGAATTTTCTAGGCCATTGGGATTGCTCCTAATTTAGAAGATTCAGAATCTGGAAGAATGCACTTTTGGAAGGAGGAACTAGAGGCGAAAGAATCCTGTCCTCCACAGCGTTTTCCTCCAGCCTGTCGGAATTTGCCCTGTGGTCTAGCTTGTTCTCTCCCCCAACCCCACCTTCATTCTTCATGGGGCGTGGGGGCAATGGAAAGCGGAGGATTTGTTTAGTTTGTCCTGCCTGACCTTCCTGACCTCCCCAAGTGCTGTGAAGTGCTGTGGCCTTCCCGCTTGGGGAAAACTGGGTCAACTAGATTTGAAGAGAGCCCTTTGGCTCTGCACTGGTTAGGACAGCCCAGAGCCCAGGTGACTTCTGTGCTGGTGTTTGATGCTCCATGTATGCACCTCACCCCATGTGGCTTATCACGTCCGACATCTGATATTCTTTAGAGTGCATGTGTGTCAGTTGGCTAATACGGGATTTTTTTTTTTTTTTGGTCCAGAAGTTGAGAACTCGGAATAAGCCCCTTTCTACCCTGAAACACTTGTGAGCAACTGTGCCAATCAGTGTCAAATGCCAGCCAAGGACTAGGGAAAGAGTGAGCTACCTAAAGTCTGTTTTCTTCTTTTAGTTCCCAACTCATGCTGACAGCTTGGGGATTTTCAGTGACTCAACAAACAGACAGACAGACAGAGCTCCCTGAGTGGGTTCCACACCACCAGCCATCATCCTTCTCTCTGGAGGCGTCAGCCGACCCTGAGACACCTGCAAGAGCCTCCCAGTCCTCTCAGAAATATCTGTGATAGTTGGGGAAAGAGACTAACAGAACAGAAATTCTGCTCAGTGAGAGAGGGAGGTCCCATGGAAGCTTCTATAAGCCAGAATCTTAAAAACATTTCATCTTTGGCTTCCTAAAACAACAAACAAAAACAAAACAAACAGAAATAAACCTCCTATTTGCTGGCTAAAGACTCACATCCTTAGCATATAAAAATAGAAAGCTTTTTCTTGATGTTTGTTTTAGGAAAAAGTATTCTTAATTTCCCTGTAGACCCCAGGGAACGGGCTGCTTGAAGTGAGGGGCCTCCAGGGTGGGAGAAACTCCTAAGGGCTACAGGGATTCCACATGGAGCCAGGCAGGGTACCCAGCCGGCCAGGGCCAAGGAGTCATCCCTGAAGACTCTCCCTTATCCCCGGGAGAATCTCAGACATCAAAGGCAACTCACCTTAGGAGGGAATCAGATCCCTAACTGGGATCAAATACGGGAAGAGGTTCCAGTCCAGGTAGGTGAAACTTATCATCCTGGCCATTATCTGATGCTGGCAAGAGGGAGCCCTGAGAATCACCAGGGGGCATTCCCCACGACGTTCTGGGAGCTTAAACCCCGCTGACTGTGCAGCTGGGCTTTCTGCAAGTCATAGTCATAATGATGGATGGACAGTGGCAGCCCCTCTCACCCTCACCCCCATCGTGTCCTTTCTCTCTAACCATAGATCTGTACCATCTTGAAGGAAGGAAACAGGACTTTGACAGTTCCCAAAACTCTGATCTGGTGAGATAATTTCATGAGTTTATCATGTTCAGGTGTGGTGGCTTGGACGGCATCAAAGCTGAGACGAAAGGTGTTAATTTGAGTGACAGCGTTTACATGCCCATATTGTCTCCACAGCCTCGGCTGCCCTAGGCTTATTTTCTCTAGAAACACAAGTTGGAAAATACCCAGGCACGGAACAACAAACTCCAGCCGTCTTCTCTCTTCTTGGCTTTGAACTGTGCCCTTGGCAGACCTTACCCCCTTCCCCAGCGATGGTCACATCTCCTCTTCCATCTTCTCTCCCCCAGTGGGAACTCGAGGGAAACAAACAGGGAGAACATGAGGTCCAGCACCTTCTTAGGGGGTGCTCTCCAAAAGCCCAGGCTTACAGAGGCTCATGGGAAGGCAGCGCTCAGGACGCCACTTAGATTCCTTTACCCACTGTGGGAGGCGTTCCGGGTGGAAGCCCAGTCCGGGGAAGGAGCCTTGTGGGAGTGTCACAGGACGAGCGTTCTTTTTCTGGGTGGGCTTATCATGAGACCCCCCGAGGCAACACAGCAGGGTCCTGGGCCATCAGAGCCCGAGTGTCTCCTTTCCCAGCACAACAGGCATTGGCTATAGCAAGGCCAGTGTTGGGTCATTCTTTCTGGCGGCAGCTAGATTTGGCGATCTTGAGGAACGTTGGCTCCCTGAGTTCCAGATGCTGGTATCCCACCTGAAGCATGGTGTAACATTTCGGTTGAGTGCAGAGTTTTAAAAATTTTTAATTTTTTTAAAGTTTTATTTTATGTTCAGGGGTTCCATGTGCAGGTTTGTTATATAGGTAAATTGTGGGTTTTGGGGGTTTGGCGTACAAATGATTTTGTCATACAGATACTATGCTATCACCCACCATAGTTTTTTGATCTCTCCCTCCTTCCATCCTCCACCCTCGAGGAGGCCCCAGAGTCTGTTGCTCCCTTCTTTCTATACATATGTCCTCAAAGTTTAGCTCCCACTGATAAGTGAGAACATGTGGGATTTGATTTTCTGTTCCTGTGTTAGTTTGCTTAGGATAATGGCTTCCAGCCCCATCCATGTGGCTGCAAAGGACATGATCTTGTTCTTTTTAACAGCTGCATAGTATTCCATGATGTACATGGGCCTCATTTTCTTTGTCCAGTCCATGGTGGATAGGCACTTAGGTTGATGCCATGCCTTGTTATTGTGAATAGTGCTGTGCTGAACATGCATGTGAGTGCAGTTTTGGGGGGCAGACATGTCTGGGTTCCGATAGCAGCTCTGCCACTTGTTAACTAAGAGATCTCTGGAAAGTCACTTGGCCTCAGTTAGCCTCAATGTCCTCATCCGAAAGTGAAGATAACAGTATCTCACAGGGTTCCTGGAAGGATTGGAGCAAACACAGAGTCCAGTTCTTTGCATACTGCTTGGCATTTAGCAAGCACTCAATAATGACTAGCTAAATCCCTAATCCCCACTCTCCCTGCTGGAAAACCTACCTGCCTCCTACCTCCTTCGTCTGCATGCTGCTGTGAGGGGATCCTCTAGGCTGGAGGTCTGAATCTACCTGCCCACTGTGGAGGAAATGATGAGGGACCCCAGATATTCACTGGGGAGGGAGAAGACGCAGCAGAAAACTTTTACTGTCTCTCTTTTTATTTTTATTTTTTGCTGTTTTCCTTATAGTCCCTTGAAACTTGGCAACTTGGCATGCCAGTTTTTTTCTGGAAGGGCAAAAGATGTTATGAAAACCATTGAAGGCTATTTCCCTTTTTTAAACTAAATTTTAATTTTTGTCTAAGTTATGGAAGTACACAGATGAAAATATCCAAACTTTATTGCTGAGGCTTAAGAAAGACAGCAGTTCCTTGCCTGGAACTTTGCCCACCCTCAAATCCTGATACCAAGAGGAAGCTACTTCCACACTTTCAGTTGTTTCTTGAGATAGTTCTCTTCCTGTCTCAAAACCGTGTGCTTCTATTCCCGTACTTTGATTTTTCACTTTTTTTATACATGTGAACTTTTTGTTGTGATTAGGGTTGCCAGATTTAGCAAATACAAATACAGAACACCCAGTTAAATTTGCACTTCACATAAATGATGGCTACTATTTTAGTATAAGTATGTCCCATGCAATATTTGGTCCATACTTATAGTAAATGGTTATTTGTTGCTTACCTGAAATTCAAGTTTAGGTGAGAGTCATGCATTTTATTTATTTATTTATTTTTTGAGACAGGGTCTCACTCTGTCATCCAGGCTGGAGTGCAATCGTACGATATAGGCCCACGGCAGCCTCTATCGCCCAGGCTCAAGGGATTCTCCTGCCTCAGCCTCCCAAAGTGCTGGGGTTATGGGTATGAACCACTGTGCCTGGCCCTAGTTGTGTATTTTATCTGGCAAACCTACCTATGATGCAGAAAATGTTAACTTTTCCATAGCCAGCCGATCTCTCCTGCCGTGTCTCCCAGCCACTCTATGTAGGGGAGGATGAAGAGAACATGTGCCCCTCATATATTTCCTTTCTGACACGTCCTCTCAAACCTTTTATCTCAGCCTCTTTTATGCTCAGGGGCTTTGGGGTGAAAAAGACCAAGCTCAGGTACTGTGAGCCTCCCATTGTGCCCAGGCTCTTTCAGCTTGGACACAAGTTCTCACAGGATTAATCTTCCTCTTTTTCTAACCACCCAGTATTTATTTCCTAACTCCTCTTACCATCCATGAGAAACAAAACAGAGTTCAAGGCCCAAATATATGTAGGACCTGAAATCCAGCTGGAACCTACCTGGTTCAAGCTTGGGCTATTAGAATAATCAAAAACTGTTCAGGTAATAGTGTTTAATTCCTTTAATTCCAAGAGTTAATTCCATAAAAACCAAGCAAGCAAAAAACCCCCAAAATCTAAATTCAACTCCCTATTCTTCGTGAACACCTCTCATGTAATGCCTAAGGAGGGAATTTGTGACTTAAATATTTATGATTTTATTTCCTTTGGTATTTGCTTTGGGAACAAAGTTACACTGTCCCTGTACAGGAAAACCCTGATTCTGTCCTAGAATATTTGCTCTGCCCCGAGTTTTCTGCCATGTTGCTAACAAACATCGGATGAATTCGACTTAGTTCCTCAGGGAGTTATAAATGGAAGTATGCACAGGCTGCAAATGCTCACTGCTCAGCATTCATTTTCAAGCTCTTCTGGACACACAAAACACGTTTTTTTTTTTTTCTAAAACACAAGAAATATATACTTTATGGGGTTTAGATTGGAGCTGCCTGCTATTATCTTTTTTAAAAAATTATAATTTAATTTAATTTACTTTTGTTTTCTGAGACGGAGTCTCATCTGTCACCCAGGCTGGAGTGCAGTGGCGCGATCTCAGCTCACTGCAACCTCCGCCTCCCAGGTCCACGCCATTCTCCTGCCTCAGCCTCCTGAGTAGCTGGGACTACAGGCGCCCGCCACCATGGCCGGCTAATTTTTTTTTTTTATAGTTTTAGTAGAGACGGGGTTTCACCGTGTTAGCCAGGACGATCTTGATCTCCTGACCTTGTGATCCGCCCGTGTCGGCCTTGCAAAGTGCTGGGATTACAGGCGTGAGCCACCGCGCCCGGCCCAAAAATTTTAATTTTAAACATTTTTTTATGAAAAAGAAAAAAACTACTTTATGATAAATTTAAATATATAGATTAGATTTTAAATACATACATAGATTAAGCGGGCAAATTTCCAGAAAAACACAGTCAATAAAATTGACTTAGAAATGGAAAGCCTGTATACATTTTAAACTTGAAAATAAATAGACCTATAATTTAAAGTCTATCCATTCAAAACCCACTAGGCCTATATGGTTTAACAGATTATCTCTACCAAGCTTATTTTAAACATTTTTTAACTTTTTGATTTTTTGAGACAGGGTCGTGCTCTGTATCTGAGGCTGGAGTGCAGTGGCACAATCACAGCTCACTGCAGCCTCGACCTCTTGGATTCAATTGATCCTCCTGCCTCAACTTCCCGAGTAGCTGGGACTATAGGTGAGTGCCACCACACTCAGCTAATTAGAAATTTTTTCTGTAGAGGCGGGGTCTCCCTATGTTGCCCAGGCTGGTCTTGAACTCCTGGGTTCAAACAATCCTCCCACCTCAGCCTTCCGAAGTGCTGGAATTTACAGGTGTGAGCCATCATGCCTGGCCTACCTCCTTCCAAGAAACGTTATATGGGGCACTCTTATATGGGGGTTGCCATGATTCAGGACCACAGAAAACTGTCTTATTTAAAAGTCAATAAATGAAAGTACGTCGGCATAGTGTGGAAACAAAAAGAGGAAAAAAAGTCAATAAACATGTTTTTCCTCAACTTGGCTTTCTTCCCTTTGGTTAGGTCCCCTGACCCCTTCCTCCTTCTTATCTCTGCGTCTTCATGCATGCTAAGCATGGAATGTCCTCACCGCGCCTTCCCATTCCTAGTAACCCAACCTTATCATCTGTATAGAGACCCCCAGCCAGCCAGAGCCTTCCAGAAGGTGCCTTTCAGGAACCCACAGCTCTGCCATCGTTCCTGTCCTCTGAATGTAGTTAGTTTACTATTATTGACCAGAGAGAGGGACCTTGTTTTTATAGGACTCTCAAATATTTGTTTCCTGTCCTGGTCTTAACACACACACATACCCCCACCCCAGAATCCCAAAGCCCAGCATGTTGGATGAGATGTGTGGCGGTATTCTGTGCTAATGCTTGGAATCTGTGCTCGGTCATGAAGAGTCTTGGGTTTTCTTTCAGAAAGTTCACTGAGCTTTCTCCAAGCAAATCAGTCAAGCTTTCCTTCTTAACACCTTTACCTCAAAGGCCAGAAGTATTGATTCTCCTAATTGTATGCTACATTGCATCACTGGACTGCGGCTAGTTATTATTATTATTTTTGCTACCAGTCAAGGATTCTTGTAGTTTCAAGTTTTGTTACATCTCCTTATTTCTCTTTTTATTTCTTGTTCTTAAATCTCATTCAGGGAGGAAGCTGGCTCAGGCAAGAAGCGGGTAACAATATTTAATTGGCTCTAAAATGCCATATGCATTTTAAATATGCTTTAAAAAAGGTGTAGCAGATAACTCTTTTTTAAGAAAATAGGCTGGACATGGTGGCTCACACTTGCAATCCCAGCACTTTGGAAGGTCGAGGCAGGAGGATCACTTGAGGTCAGGAGTTTGCAACCAGCCTGGCCAACATGGTGAAACCCCGTCTCTACTTAAAGTACAAAAAAAAAAAAAAAATTTAGCCAGGCATGGTGGCGCGGGCCTGTAATCCCAGCTACTCAGGAGGCCGAGGCAGGAGAACCCCTTGAACCCAGGAGGCAGAGGTTGCAGTGAGCTGAGATTGCACCACTGCACTTCAGCCTGGGTGACAGAGTGAGACTCTGTTTCAAACAAATAAATAAATAAATAAGTAAATAAAAATTCCAGGGAAAGCCCATTTTTGGTCCTTTTTGACTCTTTGTTTACGGCCCCTGTTTGAAGCTAAACTCAGCTTGAGCCTGCAGAGCCACAAAAGTACTGAATGAGACAATTCAACTCTTACTCTCTCAAAAACTGTGAACACAGCCTAGGGGAGAGACCTCTCCACCCATGTACTCAGGAACCATTTATTTAGAATAAAAAGGGTGTGAGGTATAGCGGCTGAAACACAGAATTAGACACCTGTAACTTCTAATTCTGGCTCAGACACTGACTCTGGCCTGAGGGAGCTCACTTAAAAACTGCCTCAGTTTCCCTATCTGTAAAGTGGGAATTATAACTGTAGTCACCAGGGCAGGGCTGTGACTTAATTAGCTAATGATCGCAAAAGGCTTTGAAGAGGCTCATAGAAGCTGCGGTTGAAGGATAAGATGATTATTAGGTGGACCACATCACCAGGCAGCCGGCCCTGGGGAGACTGATGGGTTTGGAATCATCTCTTGATGTCCACAGAAGTTGGGATTCAAAACACCAGGGCCCTGGGGAAGACTGACACATGCTGCCACCTGGTTAGACAGAGATCAGCAAACTGCAGCTGTTTCTCTCTCGTGAAATCACAAGAAATGGTGCTCAATCCTGGCAGGCAGAAAGGAGGTGAGGGGGAACCTGGGGCCAGGCCGACGGCTTGGGATGGGCAGAGAAAGGCCATATTGGTGATATTGAACAAATGCTCATTCCATACCAAGGCAGCCAGAAAGGGAGGAAAGACAGTTTCTGCCCTCAAAAGATTTGCAGTCTAGTTGAAGTATGAAAATCAACCCTGGCAGTGTTTCGAGAATACTGTAAGAGCTGGAGGGTTCTCCAGAAGTCAGGAGAGTGGGACACGAGTTGACGGTGACGACGATGGAATGGCACAGAGATATTTCCCTCTTGCTTTTCTCTCAAGGGATATGGAATCCTGGCCTGAGCCAGCCATGCCATTGATAAGTGATTGACTTTGAATCTGAGGCAGGAGAATCGCTTACGCCCGGGAGGTGGAGGTTGTAGTGAGCTGAGATCACTCCACTGCACTCCAGCCTGGGCAAAAGAACGAGACTCATCTCAAAAACAGAAAGAAAAAAAATAAAGGAAGAATAATCAAAATTGGTTTTTGTAATCACAGGTTTTTTTCTTTTCTTCTTTTTTTTAATGTTAGTTTCTTATTATAAAAGTAACATAGGTTTGTTTTCATAACATCACAGGGTTTCCTCTCTTAACCTTGCAGACTTCAGCAGATGCTTCCTCCTAGGAAAGTGTTTGTCCTGGGACCTGTGCGGAGACCAAGGGGGTTGGAAGGAGAAGGAGCTGGCTTGGGAGGTTTTGTCTGCTGGGCAGGCACTGACCTCCTCTTCAGGTTGGTTGTGAGAGTTTATTATTTATTTATTTATTTATTTATTTATTTATTTATTGATGGTGTCTTGCTCTGTCGCCCAGGCTGGACTGCAGTGGTACAATCATAGCTCATCGCAGCCTTCAACTCTTGAGCTCAAGCCATCTTCCTGCCTTGGCCTCCCAAATGGCTGGGACTACAGGTGTGCACCACCATGCCCAGCTAATTTTTGTGGGTTTTTTTTTTTTTTGTAGAGACATGGTCTTGCTATATTGCCTAGGCTGGTTTTGAACTCCTGGGCTCAAGTGATCCTCTTTCCTTTGCCTCCCAAAGTGTTGGGATTGCAGGTGCGAGCCACTGGGCCTGGCCTTGAGTGGTTTTCACCTCAAGTTTCTCTTCCCTGCTTTGTTTCTTGGCTGCCAGCTCTCTGGGTGTACGTTTTTCCCCTCTACAACTGGATACTGGCCTGGGAGAGGCACGCGATGCTGCATGGAGTTGTTTCAGCTTGGGCTGATGCTGTGGGGCCATCATGCTCCCTTCCCTGTGAGCCTGGAGCGCCTGCAGGAATGTGCCCTGGCCAGCCACGGCCTGCCACTGGGCCTGACCTGGGAATGAGGTTCACCCACCTTACTCCTGCTGGCTGTGGCCTCAGCCCCAGCCGAGAAACAGGCTGGCGTTTCCTTAGCTCCCACTGCCATTTTACCTCCAGAATCCCATTCATTTCGCTTGGAATATTTTCTGTCTCATTTCTGCTTCTCTTTCTTCCTGTTTTTGCAAGCAGGCAGCCATGGGCATCAGTCCCTATAAACTGTGCGTTTTTTCAACACTGAGCTCTGGCGCATTAATCTCTGTACAAATTCTGACCCACTTATTCCAGGGCCTGCTGTGTGTCAGAGGCTGAAGCATGCGTCTCCGTAGAACTACTAAGGCGGGCCTTTTAGGAGCATCACAGCAATTGTTAGCTAAGAAGGAGTTCTTATAAAGAAATGTACCAACCCAAGTCACATACACATACAGACACACACACACACAGAGACAGACACACACACACAGACACACACATACAGAGGCAGAAACACACAGACACACACACAGAGACAGACACACACAGACACACATACACAGTCACACACACAGACACACACAGAGACATCCACACAGAGACACACACAGAGACACACACAGACACACACAGAGACACACAGACACAGACACACATATACAGACACACACACCTGCACACACAGACACACACAGAGAGACACCCACAGACACACACGTAGACATACACAGACACACACACCCACACATACAGACACACACAGAGAGACACACACAGAGAGACACCCACAGACACACACATAGAGATACACAGATGCACACACAGAGACACACACAGATGCACACACAGAGACGCATACACAGATGCACACACAGAGACACATACACAGATGCACACACAGAGACACACACACAGATACACACACGCCCCCCCCCAACACAGAGACACTCAGGCACACACACACAGTCACACACACAGACACACAGAGACACACACAGACACACACATAGACATACACAGATGCACACACGGAGACACACACACAGAGACACACACGCCCCCACCCCCCACACGGAGACACACATACAAGCACAGAAAGACCCACACACCTATCTTATTCCTTTAATTAATTTCTACCAAATGTGCTTGTTCCAGTGCCACTTCTAAATTAAAAACACATTGAAGACAGAGACCCCCTCTCTCTCTTTTTTTTTAAATCACCTTAGAGTGTACACCCAATACATTCACTATTTAATGTTCCTAAATCTTGCGAGGCAGATACTCTTATCATGACATTTTACGGAACATTGCCAAGGTCAAACAGGTACAAAGGGGCAGATCCAGGACTCAACCCAGGGCCAGGCCCATGCTCTCGGTTACTATTAACTTTGGAATCTGAGGAATTGCTTTGTATGGCCTCGTCATTGTTTAGATGAGAAAGGGCCCCATGACATGGTGGCTCTTCTGAGTCTCACAGCGCATTTTCAATCTAGCTGGGACTGGAACCCATGTCTGTTGACTCCTAGTCTAGTGCTCTTGATGATGGAATAATCCACTTTGCCTCCTACAGGGAACTGGCCTGGGGTCTGTCTGGACACCCTAGAACCTGGTGTGGGGTCACCAATAACATGTCTGCTGCCGTCAAGAGCCTGGCCTAAAGACTTTTAGTCATTGCTCTTTGTTGTAAATATTCCCTTTAAAGGGAGGTGGTGTAACAAATAATGACCTCTCTTTCCCACTTAATGACATGCTCCTTTACCCCATTATCTTTAATGATAGACAGTCACACAGAGACAAGACGTCACCAAAGTCTAGGGAGCATTTGCTCTTCAGGCTTTTCTATCTTTTGGGTTCCCAAAAAAGTGATGTCTCTGAAAGCCTAAAGGCTGAGTCTTTCAGTGGGACCCTACTCAAATCCTTGAAGCTCAACAGGAGGGCGAATGCCACTGAGCCCTGTTTCTGACTCGCCCTTCTCTCCTTTGGGTGTTGCTAGACTTGGGATGAGATGTGATGTTGATGAAGTTTGATGCTATTATGGCAGGACCCTTCCAGGCACCACCTTTCTGGGTTGAGGTTGGGAGGAGGCAGTTAAACAGCAGCCAATATGGTGCTGATTGACAGCCACCGGATCTGCATCCAGTTCGCTTTTTCTATTCTACTTCCTTTTATGCAAGAACAACTAACCTTTCCCCTTCTACACCAGGGAGGAAAATAAATGACTTTGAAGGGAAATATGATCCAGGTTCTTCCAGATGGATGCCTTCATCTCTTACAGAGCACTCCTTGAGTTTTTTGCTTTTTTGTTTTGAGACAGGGTCTCGCTCTGCTGCGCAAGCTGGAGTGCAGTGGCGCAATCATGGCTCACTGCAGCCTCGATCTCCCGGCCTCAAGCGATCCTTCTGCTTCAGCCTCCCAAAGTGCTGGGATTATGGCATAAGCCACCACGCCCAGCTTCTTGGGTCTTTTTTGAGCTTTAAATGCAGATGTTTCCTTCACTTCCCTGTTGTTATCAGCATGTTGATAACTGCCATATCGCTTCATGGGTTAATTCCCTTCATTCCTAAAGTTCTTCTCAGTCCCTCTCTTCCCTGTAGTGAGAGGAAGGAGTCAGTTCAGGTTCTTAACGAAGAGAACCTTGCCTCCTTCTGTTCTTTATTTCTTAGTGGTCTCTGAGGGGTAGTAATGCCTCTGAGGTAATCTGGACCTGCCTCCCTTGGCCAGCGCAAGATGGTTTTGCACCAGCATTTTCCAGGAGTTGCGTAGGCCACTCTTGGATAGCCTCAGTCCACTGACTGGAACACGGATAGCTGCAATTTGTCAAGTATTTAGTATGTACAAGGCACTGTGTGTGGCACCTTACAGATCATCCCATTTAATCTTCATCACAATTCTGAAAGGTAGTTATTGTTATCTACAAAAGAAAGCTCAGGTTTAGAGAGATTAAGTAATTTACCCAAAGTTACACAATATATGATAGACTAGGCTTCAACTCCAGGACTTCCTGACCTCACAGCAGCTGCCTCTCCGATTTCACCAGGCTGCATGACAACGCACATCTGAGGTGACGGGGATCCCTATGCTGTTCCAAATGAGTGGGAAGGCCCTGCTTTTGGTGAAAGGTGGTCTCACATCTGCATCCCCTTGGGGGTGATTTAAAGCCCATTCCATTTCTTCTGACTCCAGCATGCAGTGTCTTGGTTTCAAAGAAAGAGGCTGAGGCCAAGTTTTACTAGGTCCTCTCTATATTTTCAGAAAGAAGAGAATGAACAGACATTCATGATCTTGGGTGGACCAGTTTGAATGTCAAGGGCTTTTAAAAGAATTTGCACTAGTGACTTAAAACCAGCTTTATTTTCCAGAGGACTTAGCCATGTTCTCTAATGTAAAAGTTTTCAGAGGGTGTGGGTTGTCATGGCAACACTCATTTGGAGGCTCTTGAAGAGTAAGCGAGAGCATAGACTTTTCTCCCTTGAAGGTATGTAGAGGCTGGGCATGGTGGTTCACGCCTGTAATCCAGTGCACTGGGAGGCCGAGAAAGGAGGATGGCTTGAAGCCAGGAGTTTGAGACCAGCCTGGGCAACACGGTGAGATCCCCATCTCTCTTAAAAAAAAAAAATTAGCCAGGTGCCTTGGCATGTGCCTGTAGTCCCAGCTACTTGGGAGGCTGAGGCAGGAGGATCACTTAAGTCTAGGAGTTCAAAGCTGCAGTGAACTTTGGTCACGCCACTGTATTCCAGCTTGGGAGACAGAAGGAGATCCTGTCTTTAAAAATAAAATTGGCCAGGTGTGGTGGCTCATGACTGTAATCCTAGCACTTTTGGAGGTCTGAGGTGGGTGGATCACAAGGTCAGGAGTTCAAGACCAGCCTGGCCAAGACAGTGAAACCCCGTCTCTACTAAAACTACAAAAATTAGCCAGGCGCAGTGGCAGGCACCTGTAATCCCAGTTAGCCGGGAGGCTGAGGCAGGAGAATTGCTTGAACTTGGGCGGCAGAGGTTACAGTGAGCCGAGATCACACCACTGCACTCTAGCCTCGGTGACAGAGTGAGACTCTGTCTCAAAAAAACCCAAACTAAACCAAACCAAAACAAAAACAAAAATAAAGAAAAAAACGTTATGTTGAGAATCCTAGATGAGAAGGGGCCCCACAGATCTCCTAGTCTAATGTTCCCATTTTACAGATGGGAAAACTGGGAGCAAGGAAGCTTACCGACTGCTCCAGTCCATACAGATGGTAGTGGCGAAGGCAGGGGAGCCACGTGGACACCAGGAGACCAGGCTCCTGCCAATCTCTGCTACTTCTTGGAGCTCACTTTTCCATGCTGCTTTGACAGTTTATAACTTGAAGATTATTTAATAGAAAGTTAAACCTAGTTTTGGTAGTAAAATCAACTCCGAAGTATTAGATACCATTTTAAAAAGCTCTGGATTAGAACTGAATTCCAGAAATGGCCCAGGGCAAAAAATCTTCACTCTGGTCACCAGTGAAAGCCCACCAGAGCAGAAGGCACAAAGGGGAGTCAGGGCAGGGTGGTTAGGGGAGTGGCATCGACTCTGCCTGCTGGTTTTGGAGAAACAAGATGAATTCTCCATCTCCGCAGCCGTTAAATGGTCACTTGCACACAAACCAGATCCACTTTCTTTCATTTCTAAAAGGGAGAGCCAGGGAAGAGATAAGAGGCAAAGCTCCCGAGGCCATAGGCGTAAAGCTTTAGCTAGCCTGAATTTTTAGCAGACGTGCGGTCACTCCCCCAGTGGTCTGATAACAGAGCTTTTACTGTCATTGGCATCCTTTCTAACAGATAGATGATCATTGCCCTGCCGTTTGCTTAATTTTATTTGTGGAAATCTGATTTCAGGATGGAGCTTTATGTTGCTTGGATTCCTCTGACAGTGCCTTGTCCTGTCTCTCGTGTGCTGTGTGTGCGATTCCAGCCCTAGCTTGGCAAGGGCTGTGCACTGCTCGAGAGAGTCCCCGACTCATCTGTAGTTCAGGGCAAAACTCTGTTTTGAGGTGAACTCCAGTTTAAGATTCAGGGCCATCTTTGGAGGGAGTATAGTGCCCAGGGGGCAGTCATGTTGTGTATTGATCCTTTCCAACAGACATTATTTATTTATTTCTATTTTTGAGACAGAATCTCACTCTGTTGCCCAGGCTAGACTGCAGTGGCATGATCTTGGCTCACTGCAACTTCTGCCTCTCAGGGACAAGCGATCCCCCTACCTCAGCCTCCAGAGTAGCTGGGACTATAGGTGTGTGCCACCATACCTGGTTTGTATGTTTTTGTAGCGACAGGGTTTCACCATATTGCCCAGGCTGGTCTCGAACTCCTGAGCTCAAGGGATCCACCTGCATCAGCCTCCCGAAGTGCTGGGATTACAGGCGTGAGCCACTGTGCCTGGCCCAGACAATATTTTTAAAGGCAAAATGATGTTAAAAAAAAAAAGCGGAGGGCTGGATGTGGTGGCTCCTGTCCATAATCCCAGTATTTTGGGAGGCCAAGGTTGGAGAATCACTTGAGGCCAAGAGTTTAAGACCAAGGCCGGGCGCGGTGGCTCATGCCTGTAATCCCAGCACTTTGGGAGGCCGAGGTGGGCGGATCACGGGGTCAGGAGATCGAGACTATCCTGGCTAACTCGGTGAAACCCCGTCTCTACTAAAAATACAAAAAATTAGCCGAGCGTAGTGGCAGGTGCCTGTAGTCCCAGCTACTCAGGAGGCTGAGGCAGGAGAATGGCGTGAACCCAGGAGGTGGAGCTTGCAGTGAGCTGAGATTGCGCCACTGCACTCCAGCCTGGGCGACAGAGCGAGACTCCGTCTCAAAAAAAAAAAAAAAAAAAAAAAAAGAGTTTAAGACCAGCCTGGGCAACAGAGTGAGATCCCGTCTCTGCCAAAAAAAAAAAAAAAAAAAAAAAAGGAAAAAAATAATCCTGGTGTGGTGGTGTGCTCCTGTACTCCCAGCTACTCAGGAGGATCGCTTGAGCTCACTAGGAAGAGGCTGCAGTGAGCCATGATGACACCACTGACTCCAGCCTGGGTGACAATGAGACCTTGTCAAAAAACAAAAACAAAAACAAAAAAAGCATGGAGGGAAAGCTTTGAAGGAGAAAAACATAACAAAGGCAAGGCCTGAAGAGTACCCTCTCTAGACTGGAGGGCAGGAGTGGAGGCAGAGATTGGGAATGGAGTGACCAGGCTTTCTGCCTTACTTTGGAGATGTTTCCACCAAGAACTGAAACTAAACTGCAGGTGTTTTCTTTGGAGACAGATGGACCCATGACAGATAAAGACATGAATTTCCTAGAGACGTTTCCTGAAGTCCAATCTCTTCAGACATGGCTAACTCTAGGAGAGCTGGCCTAAAGCTTGGTTGGTGAAATTAAATTTTGAAAGATCTATGTAAATGGTGGCCAAGTTCCATAGAGTGTCTTTGCTTCTCTCATTGTTGGCAACTTCAAAGAAATCTGAAAAGAGACGGCATTTAATCTGTGGTCACTCATGTCCTTTCATTTGTATCTGCTGATTTAGGAACTTAACTCTCTGGCTTGATGGAGGATGTGCTTGAAGTTGAGTTTGTAATCTCCTTCTTCAGTCTTAAATAATATGAATTTTTATTTATTTATTTACTTTTTTACTTATTTATTTTTTGAGGTGGGATTTCACTATGTGCCCCAGGCTGGTCTTGAACTTCTAGCCTTAAATGACCTTCCTTCCTCTGCCTCATGAAGTGCTGGGATTACAAGTGTGAGTCACCATGCCCAGCCTAAATAATATGAATTATTATGAAGAAGAGAAGAATGGAAAAGGAAGACTGTTAGCTTGCTTGGCCTGGGAGAAGCAAAAAGTTTCTTCTACTTAGATTCAGGGCAGCACCATTGCCTTAGTGCCCAGGTATGACCTAACGCTGATGCGTCTTCCTTAGCCTGGGACCCACAGACATTTGACCAGGAGTGGGGGAATGAGTTGGGTATTGGTCAACAACTTATGGCTAAATTATAAAGTAAAATGGGGCCTGTCTTGAAAATGGAATGAACCAACTTGATTTTCCCTTGAGCCTTTGAATTATGAAAACAACTTATTGGAAAACGAAGCCAAGCCAAATATACAGTATAATGTTCAAATGTTTGATCATCTATTTATTTCCCATGTATAAGAGAAATAAAACTGTTTCAACACCGCTTAAAAATAGGTAGAAAAGTAGCTCATTTAGCCCATCAAAGGCCTGAGCTTATTTATTTATTTCTGTATTAATTTACTACCGAAGAAATGGAATTAAATGGTTGTTTTGGCTGTAAATAGACTCAGCCTAAGGATCACACCACCTGCAGCCAGTCTTCTTCTTTAGCAGAGATAATCACTACTGAGTGGGAAATTGCCATGTTTGAAATTATTGCTGAAAAAAAAAGTTGGTAAAAGACCACACTTGAGACTCTTCAATCCTATGTCCTTCTCAAAGCTCCTGGCTGTGTTCATTTATGTGGAGAAAAGTCCTTTAGTGAAACATTCAAAATAACAAACATCAATTAGACTGTGTGCTCATAGGATGTCTTTCATCTTCAGACCTGAGAGTGCTCTACAAACACTCATTAATCCTTCCAAATGCTGCCGCCAGGTAGGTCCCAGGATCTTCCTTCCCCATGAGAGGGAAGCAGAGGTATCAGGAAACATTTCTTTCCCCAAATCTTTCACCTTTGTGTGGCGGTGCAGCCATCATTTCAAATGTACAGTTCCCAAACCAGAACATAGGAGGTGTATCTAGACATGTTAGCCAAACGAATACAGACTGAGCTGGAAGAAATTCTCTCTCTCTCTCTCTTTTTTTTTTTTTTTTTGAGATGGAGTTTTTTGCTCTTGTTGCCCAGGCTGGAGTGCAATGGTGTGATCTCGGCTCACTGCAACCTCCACCTCCCGGGTTCAAGCGATTCTCCCACCTCAGTCTCCCAAGTAGCTGGGATTACAGGCATGCACCACCACGCCTGGCTACATTTTTTGTATTTTTAGTAGAGATGGGGTTTCTCCATGTTGGTCAGGCTGGTTTTGAACTCCTGACCTCAGGTGATCCGCCCGCCTTGGCCTCCCAAAGTGCTGGGATTACAGGCGTGAGCCACTGCGCCCAGCCAAGAAATTCTGAGCACAATAAAAACTAATGAGTGGGAACCTTAACATAGTTTATGCTCTAAAGTAAGACTGTATAAAATAGGACCCAAGGAGATATGCCATATTTTCTGAGATGTATACCATTTTCCATTGAATACAGTATTTTATTATTATTATTTTTTACTAAATGCCCATCTCAGAGCAGAATACATTGAATACCTCTATTTCATTGTCTGTTTTCTCTTAATTCTATACACCCATGTGAGCTTGTGCACCTGTGGAGGCTGACGAGAGAAGATCCCTTGAGCCCAGGAATTTGAGGTTACAGTGAGCTATGATCATACCATTGCACTCCAGCCTGGGCAGCAGAGCAAAATCCCAACTCTAAAAATAAATACATTTTACACACACGCACACACACACTGGCTGTATACTTAGTGAAGATACAAATTTGGCTTTATTTCTGCGAAGACATTAGTGAATTTGGAATCAACCTCTATAAACATTTGCATGCTGAGTGAAGGCCAGCACCTCTGTAGTAAACTCTTCCTTTTGCCATAGGATTTTATCCTGCTTCCCTTTCAAAATTTACAAATTTGGAAATTTAGAAATTTCTGCCTGGCCTGCAGTTCACTGGGCTGGTTGGTTTGCGTGTCATGTACCTGCCTCACACAGTTAAAATTTCTTCCTGACTCCTTCTCACCTTTTGGAGAAAGAAGGCCAGGATCCAAATTGCCTGAAAGGAGTGGACTGCAATTAGCTATCGACACAGAATTTTCCTGTAGTTTGTGGAGACTATGAGAGTTAGAATCACACGGAGGTCAGAAAGAGCTGCAGGCAGAGTGAGGGAACTCTTATTTCCTTATTTTGGCCAATGGCATTGTGAGCCACCCTGCTACCCAAACCGGAAGCCTGGCGGTTGGCCACGAGTCCTTCTCATTCACCTCTAATTGGTCGTAAAATCCTGTTGATATTACCTGAAGACGTATTCGGATGGCATTCGTTCAAGCCTTCATCATTTTTTCAGCTTGGATTTTTTTCAGCAGTGTCCTAACAGGTCTCTTGGTCTTTCATCTCAGCCCACTTCAGTCATCTCCAAATTGCTGCCAGAGGGGGCTTTCTACTGTGCAAATATGAGTATGCCTCTCCCCTGGTTAGCAACTTGCACTAGCTACTCCCTTTGTTCATGACAGCATGCAACCTTCACAGGATGCCACAGCAACAGGCGTCTTCAGTCCACACACTCATTCTCAGCCTGTGGGCCACGCTGCAGCCCTCCGCAAGCTCTCTCTTCATCTTGTACCTTTTCTGACCCCTTCACCTGATTCACTTGTCACCTTTTCAGGAAAGCCTTCCCCAAACTTCCTCCTGCCCTCAGATCTGGAATGGAGATTTATTTTTATTTTTTAGAGACAAGGTCTCTGTCACCCAGGCTGGAGTGCAGTGGTGTAATCTGATCTCATTGGAGCCTTAAACTACTCCTGGGCTCAAGCTATCCTCCTGTCTCAGCCTCCCGAGTATCTAGGATTACATGTGCACACCACTACTGCTGGATATTTTTTTGTGTGTGTGGAGATGGGGTCTTGCTATGTTGCCCAGGCTGGTCTTGAACTCCTGGGCTCCAGCAATCCTCCCACCTCAGCCTCCCAAAGTGCTGGGATTGCAGGTGTGAGCCACCACGCCCAACCCTTGCTGCATCCAGCAGAACCATATGTTTATCTGTGTCAAAACATTTATCCAACATTGAACAGAATCTGCTTC
The DNA here is from genome assembly GCF_000001405.40 of Homo sapiens. Taxonomy (NCBI): domain Eukaryota; kingdom Metazoa; phylum Chordata; class Mammalia; order Primates; family Hominidae; genus Homo; species Homo sapiens. The sequence goes on from NC_000010.11 coordinate 8,122,269, forward strand.
TTTGCCCTCCCCATTGGACTGTGAGCTCTTTGAGGGCAAAGAATGTCTTCCACCCCAAAAGCCCCATGAAGAGAAAGGCACGTCACGGTCCTTAATAAAAGTTCACAAAATTAGTGAATTAAGACTTTACAATTATATTTCATTGTTTGTAGAAAATGGTTTGGAAATTGTTCTAATGTCATATTTTGTGGAATAATATATTGGTGCACATACTCGTGGATATACATATTTGTGTACCCACATGTATTTGTGTATAGTTTACAATTCCCAAACACGTTTCCATATGTGGTTTTGTTGGGTTGCACAGCTTCTGATAGAATTGTAGAAAAGTGATGGAAAAAGGTCCCATTAGGCTTTCTTCGGAAACGCCAAAAAGAGAAAAACAAAACCTACCCTGCTTTGCATTGAGAGTCAGTATGATTTGAATGAGCGCCTCCACTGCTTTGCGGGAAACAGTTTTCCCTGCAGCCTGTTCTTTGCATGCTTCTAGACACGCCTGGTTTACATCACCAACATCTTAGAAGGAACTCATTCAAATCCATCCTGGCTTGACTCTTTTCATTCTCTGGCAAATCCACAGAAACGTGGGTTTTCTTTAATTCCTTTGGGACTGGGCCATAGACAAAAATGCTCCTTTTAGCCTGTGGTTCATTGCTAGTCTACACTCTTGGTTTTCCTATCTATCTTCTATCTATCTATCTATCTATCTATCTATCTATCTATCTATCTATCATCATCTAACATCTATCTTATCTATGTATTATCTCTATCTATCCATCCATTCACCCATCTATCAATCATCTATTATCTATCTATCTATCATATATCTATCACCTATCTATCATCTATCTAATCTATCTATTATCTCTATCTAACTATCCATCCACCCATCTATCGATCATCTGTCTATTATCTATCATCTATCTCTACTATCTGTCATCATCATCATCTATCTATCTAATCTATTATCTATATCTATCCATCCATTCATCCACCCATCTATCAATTATCTATCTGTCTGTCTGTCTGTCTATCTATCTATCTATCATCTATCTATCTATCTATCTATCTATCTATCTATCTATCTATCTATCTTAGAGGTGGGATGTTGCTAGGATGCCCAGGCTGGACTCAAATTCCCGGGCTCAAGCAATCCTCCTGCCTTAGCCTCTCTCTTGGTAGTATCCTGTGGTCACTGACCCAGTTTCCTACACGTGAAAAGGACTCAAAGACCAAATGCTATTAGGGAGCTGATGAAAGTTATGAAGTACATGCACAGAATCATGACTTTTCAATGGAAGCAATGTATTTTTGCTGGCGTTTGCATGTCATCTGGTGTTGCTATAGGAGGGAGGAAATGACTTCCCACTCCAGGTGGCTCTGCTCGCCCTGATCTTTTAGTCTGCCCTAGCTTTTGTGCCTGCCCTCACTGTCTTCAGGAAGGTTGCTTTTCTCTGTAGAGCTTCTGCACTAATGATGTTCCCAAGAAGGTGGTCATTTAGGCATGGTCGTGTTACCACAGACATGAGACCAGTTAGGACACATGTACAGAAAAAAACATGAATTTTCTATGGAGTATCATTCAACCCAAGTCTTTTTCTTTTTTTTTTTTTGTGAGACAGAGTCTTACTCTGTCACCCAGGCTGGAGGGCGGTGCTGCGATCTCGGCTCACTGCAACCTCTGCCTCCCGGGTTCAAGCAATTCTCATGCCTCAGCCTCCTGAATAGCTGGGATTACAGGCACCTGCCACTACACTTGGCTAATTTTTGTATTTTTAGTAGATACAGGGTTTTACCATGTTGGCCAGGCTGGCCTCGAACTCCTGACTGCACGTAATTTGCCCACCTCGGCCTCCCAAAGTGCTGGGATTACAGGCGTGAGCCACATCACCGGCCCAATCCAAGTCTTTAAAACAAACCTCAGAGACAGCTAATGGGTTTGCTTTGAAGTTCCCAGCAGTGAGAAGATACTTGGTTGGTGGTAGAGCTATGCCTTTCCGAAGAAAGTCTTCAGGAACTCCATTTCACTCCTAGGTGCGTGCTTACTCTGAAATCCAGATACATAAAAAAGCACTAGCTGGGTGCAGTGGCTCACCTGTAAATCCAGCACTTTGGGAGGCTAAGGCAGGACCAAAGTTCAAGACCAGCCTGGGCAACGGAGTGATACGCTGTCTCTACAAAAAACATGAAAATCAGGCATGATGGCACTTGCTTGTAGTCCCAGCTACTTGGGAAGCTGAGGTGGAAGGATTTCTTGAGCCTGGGAGGTCAAGGTTGCAATAAGCCGTGATCGTGCCACTGCACTCTAGCCTGGGCAACAGAATAAGACCCTGTCTCAAAATAAATAAATAAATAAATAAATAAATTAATTAATTAATTAATTAATAAATTTAAAAAAAGCACCAGAGCATAAGAAATGAACATGAAATCTTGCCTTATTCTTGTTTTTTGTAGGTGCTGCCTGACATATGAAAATGAATGGAGGGGAGTTTGACTCTAAAGTCAGCCTCAGGCTTTGGGCACTGTATGGCTCCATCTGCACCAAGCACCATAGTGAATGTGGGAAGTTAATGCAGATGAATTACCGAGAAGTGGCTCTAGTGTGCTCCAGTCAGTGGTCTGAGCTATTTTAGTTGTTTTAGTGATTGAATCAAATGACCCCATTTGCTTGCATTGTTTGATTGCTGGTTAGTCTGGAAACTGTCAATTTTATATTAACAAGTCTTAACAGGAACTATGGTAATAGGCAAACCAAATGGATATAATACTTTTTTTTTTCTCTTTTACTTTCCAAACTATTTTATTTAAAAAAAACCTGCAGTGCAGTATTAAAAAGCAATACATTCAGCAGGAGTGACAACCAACAGAAACAAAGGGAGGAGGGTACAGAATACCAGGGACCCTACCTCAACTGATCCCCAGGTCTGGAGGCCAGGGGCAGACTGGGAAGGAGCACGGGTGGTGGGGAAGGGAGAAAAGGGCACCCACCAAAAAGGAAAAGGCAGAACAAAACATTTATATAGGAAATGTCTAGTTGAACTCGAGGATCTTGGGGAGATGGAAAAGCACCTTTTTTTCCCCAAAAATAATGGATATAATACTTTAGATAAGGCGTTTGCGTATCGCAACATGATTTTTCACAAGATCCATCAGGCATGTTATATAGAAATTTAAAAAATTTTGCTCTAAAATGGGCATAGGACCAAACACACATGTTTATTTGCTTAAAGTGCAAACAATTGTCTTCTATATTAAACCATAGAGAGGCTAAGAGGTTTTCCAAGGAACCAAAGAAGTCACATGTGTAAGAGTTTGTATCATTATATGATTGAAAATAGGAGAGTTTATTCTATTTGATTTGAGATTTTGGTCTAGCAGTCTTGTTAAAACTTATTTTGTTTCTATGCTTTCTTACCATAGGGCTGATACTACACATATAAAAAGAATCAACCCAGGAAATCAAAGAAATCTACTCTATCTCCCAGCCTCTATTTTCTAAATGTTTTAATATTTCAGTCAAGGTTGTTTGCTTAAGCAAACGAGTGGATGGTGATTTCCTTGAATGAGATGATTATGGGAAGATAGGCTAAGATGGGAAAATCAAAAGTTGTCTCTCTCTTTCTCTTTCTCTCTTCCTTCCTTCCTTCCTTCCTTCCTTCCTTCCTTTCTTTCTTTCTTTCTTTCTTTCTTTCTTTCTTTCTTTCTTTCTTTCTCTCTCTCTCTCTCTCTCTCTCTCTCTCTCTCTCTTTCTTTCTTTCTTTCTTTCTTTCTTTCTTTCTTTCTTTCTTTCTTTCTTTCTTTCCTTTCTTTCGAAGAGGTCTCACTGTGTCACCCAGACTGGAGAGCAGTGGTGTGGTCTCAACTCACTCCAACCTCCACCTCTTAGGTTCAAGCGATTCTCATGCCTCACCCTCCTGAGTAGGTGGGACCATATGCCCCCAAGCCTGGATAATTTTTGCTTTATTTTGTAGAGATGGGGTTTTCCTATGTTGGCCAGGCTTGTCTTGAACTCCTGACCTCAAGTGATCCACGTGCCTCAGCCTCCCAAAGTGCTGGGATTACAGGCATGAGCCAATGTGCCTGGCCTTCTTTTTTTTTTTTTTTGAGACAGGGTCTCACTAGGTTGCCCAGCCCGGAGTGCAGTGGCTATTCATAGGTATGATCATGGTGCATTGGAACCTTCAACTCCTGGGCTCAAGAGATCCTCCTGCCTCAGGCTCTTGAGTAATTGGGACTATAAGCACAAGCCACTGTGACCGGCTCATGAGTTGTCATTTGAACACATTAATTTTGAGTGTCTTTAAGACATCCAGTTGGAATTGGATAGGAAGCCAGGGCTAGAGATCTGAATTTGGGAGTCATCACCATGTAGATGATATTGAAAATTAAAGTTCTGTATCAGAACACCCAGGAAGAGATGTGGTAAAGGTAAAAGCACCTAGGACTTGTCTGACTTCAATCTTCTTCTTCATATAGCATAACATACCCCCTGTGACTACAAGGATGCAAGATGGAAAAACACAACTCTAGAAGCCTGGGCTTACTCTGCCTGGTCTTCAGTCTCTTTCGAGGCCATTTGTCATAATGAGCTCACGATAGAATCTCCAGGTGTGTCAATGACAGGTGGCTCTTTTGGACAGTAAAATGCTATGGGAATAAGAGCAGGGAGAGCCCAGGGGAGTGCAAGGAGGCGGAAAAGCAGCAGGTTGTGTTACTATGTGGACGAGAGGAAATGAATGAACCCAGGCGACAGACCAAAGCTGAGTTGCAGAAACCTTGACCCGGAGTTCTCACATAGCAACCTGGATCGTGGTCCAGGACCACTCTGAGACTCCTGAATGACAAGTAATCAATCCACAACATATTGATTTATTTACTGAGCACCTGGTGGATGTTCAGGTATTGAGTCTTTCCTGGTTCCACCAGAAGAGTTTTGAGAACAAAATAGACACCCTCATCCATGCTTTGGCAAAAAAGAGTTTCATTTCTTTTTCTTTCTTTTATTTTTTTGATTTTTTTTTATAAGAGATGGGGGTTTTGCTATGTTGATCAGGCTGGTCTCGAACTCCTGGCCTCAACTGATCCTCCCATCTCGGCCTCCCAAAGTGCTGGGATTACAAGCATGAACCATTGCATCCCACCTCATTTCTTGAATATGTTGTGGGATTCAAGTTGTCCTAGAGTTGGAGAAGGCCAGAGAAGGACAAACACAAATATCGAAGTGTAATTTTGGTGACATTTGCCCCACTCATCATGGGGATATGTTTCTGAAGTTCAGAGCATCAACACTAGAGTATTTGCATTGTGTTTTTGATGGTTCTGATGTTATCATGCAGATATATTGCCGCTTTTTCTTTTAACAGCTGAATTGAGAATATTTTATTGCTTACAAGGAACATAAAACTATTAAGATCACTATTAAGATTAAATGCTTAAGCACTTACCTGTTCACAAAACTCATTCTGTTAGCTTCCTTCAGACACATAGTAGGTGCACAATGTATGTAGGCTGAGCAAAGTAATGACAAGTTGGGTTGGTCAAAATAATTTTGTTTGGACAGAGTCTTTGCCTGAAAATATTAGAAAACATAACAATATTGGGATGAAGCAATGTGAAGGAAAAAAACAGAAAATAGCACAGAAACATATTAAATGAAGAAACTAACACTATAAATCCCAGCATTCTGGGAGGCCAATTGGGGAGGATTGCTTCAGCCCAGGAATTCAAGACCAGCCTGGGCAACATAGTGAGACCCCTTCTCTAAAAAAAAAAAAAAAATAACTAGGAGTGGTGGCACACACCTGTAGTCCAGCTACTTGGGAGGCTGAAATGAGAGGATTACTTGAGCCCAGGAGACTGAGGCTGTCATGAGCTATAATCATGCCACTGCACTCTAGCCTTGGTGACAGAGGGAGACCTTGTCTCAAAAAAAAGTTTCTTTTCTTTTTGCTTTTTTTTTTTAATTCTTCACAAACAGCATTCCCATTAAGCCTAAGTGCAGGGAAAACTGCAAATTATATCACGGTAAATTCCAGAAGGAGATTCCCCAGAACAGAAAGGGTAGAATGGGAGAATTGGCTAGCCATGTTTCTATGAGGCTGGGAAGCCTTTCTAGAGACGTTCAGATTTTAGGAGCTTCTTGAATAAACATCCAGTGCACTTTATTTTGATTTCTGATCTGGTGACTGGTTTCCAAGAATTGGGTCAGGTTGTCCTGCCATGTGCTTCTCTCTTTGGACATATTCATTTCTGTTTCCTCACTGGGTTCTTCTGTTGATCAGATGTAAGACCTCTGTTTTCACTCTAATCACACATCTTGGATTTCTGCTCTCCTTGCACCTTATCCTGTTTTCTGTTTCTACCTTATGATGACCAGTTCTTTATTGCCCAGTGGCCATTCATGTTTCATGTGTGCCAACGTGTGGCAGTAACGCCGGCTGAAATTTACTTAGTACCCTATCTCAGAAGAGATCAAAGTACTTTTACAAACAGTATCTTGCTAATCTTCCATATACCATTGTAGAGTAAATAGGAAACAGCTATTATTATCCTTATTTTACACATGAGGAAATGGGAGCTCAAAGTGATGAAATGGTTGGCTCTATGGTACAAGTACACAGTGGGCTAGGTGTGGTGCTGTGTGTGTTCATTTGGTAGGTTCTTGTGACTTTCTAGGCAGATAGTCTTTCTTGCTAAAGCTATATAGGGAGACAAGAACATCAGAGCTTGTTTTCCTTTTTTCCCATTAGATTCGTACTAATTTTTTTTTGTAGTCTTTGGCCTATTGCCTTAGGTGGTGTTTATTTTTCAGGGGAGCTGTTTATAGTATGAGCTTGGACTCGAATATTGCTGAGATGTGAGCAAGTTGCATATCAGAATCAAATCCATGGCTAGGACTTATTTTTGGTTTGGGAGATCTCTGAGAAAAGAGTGATTCTTCATCAGAAAGTGACTCTCTTGAGAGGCAGGAATGGGAGAAATCGTCTCTCATGGTTCCCCGTATCTTTATGCTTTTTGGACTCGTAATAACACTTTGGGGTGAATTTCAATGGGTCAATACCCTTGTGACAGAGATACTTAATGGGAAATTGTGATCCTGAGCTTTCTGTTGGCAATGGGCTGTAGCCTATCAAATCACTGGCTTATTTGTTATGGTTGCTAAATTATGTTTTTGGAGAAATTCAGGACCTGCTTTGCCTGAGGACTTTTAAAACAGTGCTCAAAGTCGAAGGAGCTTTATCTTGAAATGTTTTATTGGATGTTCTGAAACACCCTTATGCAAGAATGATGAAGGCCAGGTATGTGTAGGGTAAGGTGTGGTCTTCGTACAGTTGCCAAGTGAGACTTGCTTTTTTCTTTTTTTAAGTTTTGTTGAGACTTGGGCAATCATGATTTGGTTTTCTTCCAGGTCAATCTGCAACATACTCCCTAAATAATCTTGCATTCTCTCAGGGCTGTGGCACTTCACTTGGGCTATGTAGATCTGACAACACATTCAGACTGAGCTGTCATTCTCAAGTAAGAGGGCACAGTCATGTATCCCTAAAAGGTCTATGGGGATGTTACTCAACATTGGCTGCTCCAAGAATGGGGAATGCTGAATTTTCCAACTCTTCCATGAGCCATTTGTAGGCTGCTTTTACAAATCTGGGATCATGTCAGCTGGATTTCAGATAACTGGATTGATTATCTAGTAAAATAGATAAAAACTGAACTGGGGAGAAAGTGAGTGGGTCAATCGGCTCTGTAGTTGGCTATGAAAGGCTAGCAACAGAATGGAAATATCGCAGTGGCTTTACCACTCTCCTGGGCTAGCTGCTTAGGTTCCAAAGCCTCAGTTTCTTCCTTCATAAGTGGATATTCCTGTCCTACTTATTGGGCAAGAAATGTGAGGATTAGATGATACACTACATGTGAAAGTCCCTCATACACTGATAAAGCTCTGTAGGGATCACTGATGATATCTGTAAAATAGGAATAAAGATATCCAGTTGGTAGGATTGTTGCAAAGACTAAATGAGATAACCTATATAATGCTCCTAGCATATTGCTTTACACATGGCAATAAACAACATGTAACCTCCCCCACAACTTCTTTTTTTTTTTCCTTTTCAAAACTCTGATGTTTATTACTTTTACCCTCACTTTGACTGTTTTTTGAGCTATAGGAGAAGCTAGAATTTGTAGTTCGGTCTTTGACCTGGGTTGCTCCTTCCATGGGTTCGTTTCCTTTGGTTTCCTGCGCTGGATCAGGCGTTGGTTCTCAAGTATGGATATTTAGGGCTTCAGTTCCTATGCTCCTGGATCTCCTGGCTCCAGAGTTTCTCGATCAGATACCAATGCCTCCTGGCAGAGCTGTCACTGCTGAGATCAATCACTTTTTCTTCTACGATCTCATGATGCATACAGAGGCTTTTAGAATTTAGCCCTTATTTTATCCTAATTTTTTTTTTTTTTTTTTTTTTGGAGACATGGTCTCACTGTCACCCAGGCTGGAGTTCAGTGGTACAATCTCGGCTCACTGCAGCCTCGGCCTCCTGAGCTCAAGCGATCCTCCTACCTCAGCCTCCCAAGTAGGTGGGATTACAGACGCACACCGCCATGCTCGGCTAATTTTTTTTGTATTTTTTGTAGAAACAGAGTTTCACCATGTTGTCCAGGCTGGTCTGGAATTCCCGGGCTCCAGCGATCCTCCCACTCCAGCCTCCCAAAGTGCTGGGATTACAGGTGTGAGCTGCTGTGCCTGGTCTATCTTGTCTAACTTGTATCTAATCTCTAATTTTCTATTGTAAACTCCATGATGGCAGGGACCATGTTTGTTTATTTTTGAATGCTACACAGCATCTAGCTTAGTTTCTGGCACACAATAGGCATGCAATACAAATGAATGGGCAAATGCAGGAGTGAATGAAACTAGCAACTATCAACCCCCTCAGTGTGGTTGCTTATAGATATCACTTTCTGGGATATTCTGTTAAAGCCAGTGACAGGCTTTATTTATGTTTTTCAGTCATGCAATCTGTTGGTGGCTAAGGGAGGGTCTCATCACAATGATCTCTTGAAATGGTAATATTCTGATCACCTGCTATTTTGAATAGTGTTCCATAACTTCTGCTCTGGTGACTCATTATGACTTAGTCTCTATCCTGCCAGAAAAGTTAGTTTCATTCGTTGAAAAAAAAAATGAGTCCAGTTGGTGACTCAGATCCGTCCGACTAGTTGTTCGGTTGCATGTAGGTGAAACAAACTGGTCGACTGGGTTTTCCATTTTTGAACTGGTGGTTTTGATCTCGGCAGAGGTAGACTCCATGTGACTCAAAGTAGCATTGGAAGGGATAATTCTGCCTGGTGGTCAGAAGACAGGATTAGAAAGAAACAGGAGGACACTTGAATTACACATCCAACCCAGCCACCACCTGGCCTTCGGCAGGTTACGCAAATTTCCTTGTCAGATATTTCCTGAAATAGAAAGGGGAAGTAGTGGATGGGATAATAGCAATGCTTCTGAGAATCTGTGCCCCACTGTGGGTATAAGGTGTACCTGTTGCTCAGGGACATGGTAAAATACTCTGAAGTGTGCAGTGCTATGAAGGGAATGGGGCTCTGTTTCTTATCTCTTTACTCCTTAACTTGCACTTGCCTACACCCCCTGCTTGCCACTTTCACTGGGTTCCAGGACCACTAGGCTACTTAAAGTACTTAGAAAGAAACTTTATCTGAGGCTGGTCCGAGTGCAGAGTGTCAATTGATCACAACCAGTTGCAGATCTCTTTTCTTTCTTTTTTCTTTTATTTGGGTTTCAGACAGGATCTTGCTCTGTTGCCTAGGATGGAGTGCAGTGGCACGATCACAGGTCACTGTGGCCTCAACTTCCTGGGCTCAAGCTATCCTCCTGCATCAGCCTCCCGAGTAGCTGAGACTATAGGCACATGCCACCATGTTCGGCTAATTTTTTAATTTCTAGTAGAGATGAGGTCTCACTGTGTAGCCTGGCTGGTCTTGAACTCCTGAGATTAAGGGATCCTCCCACCTTGGCCTCCCCAAGTGCTGGGATTATAGGCGTGAGCCACCACGCCCGGCCCATTACAGGTTTCTTTGTTCCATCTTTATGCCCACTATATCACTTGACTAGCCAAAAAACCCCAAAGAAATGAACATTATTTGAAAAATAATATGTATGACAGAGTAATATTGTGTCCTTATTTAGGAAAAAAAAATCTTTATTTGAAAGCTTTATTTTTTCTTTTTCTTTTTTTCTTTTTTTTTTTAAGACAGAATCTTATTCTATTGCCCAGGCTGGAGTACAGTGGTGTGATCTCGGCTCACTGCAACCTCTGCCTCTCAGGTTCAAGTGCCTCAGCTTCCCAAGTAGCTGGGACTACAGGAATGTGCCACTGCACCCAGCTAATTTTTGTATTTTTTGTAGAGATGAGGTTTCACCATGTTGGCCAGGCTGGTCTCAAATTCCTGACCTCAGATGATTAGCCCCCCTTGATCTCTTAAAGTGCTGGGATTATAGGAGTGAGCCACTGTGCCCAGCTGGAAGCTGTTATTGTCTAATATGCCACCATTATGACAAGTATGCCTGGGTGCTGTGCTTACAAAAGCAATACTACACATAATGTATTGCTGAAGACCCTGTTTTGAATGCTCACAGATAATAAGTCATTTAAAATTTCATAGTTAGTAGATAGCTTGAGGAAAAAAGGAGGGAAGAGAAACAAAAACGAAAACAAAGATTCACTAGTGCTTCGGTGTTTTAGAGACTTAAGCTCCGAGCTTTCGTCTCTGAGAATAATCCATTTTGGAGGTTCCCTCCAGCCTTCTTCTCTTCCCTTCCCCGATCTTTTCTTTTTTTCTTCTATTCTATTTCTTCCCGTCATCTTTTTCTCCTCCTGGTATCTTTCTTTTTCCTTCTCTTGGGGTAATTGGAGAGGGAGGATGTGGTCAGAATTGATGAGGTGAGAACGATTCCAGTTCCCTTTTTCCTCCACCTCAAACCCGTAGCAGATGTGAAGCTTAATCACATCATCTCAGCCCAGACCACGAATGGAAACTCCAGAAACCTCAGTCTAGGGACATTATGGCCACAACCACACTCTCAGTGGCAGAATCATTCTAGAAAGCATTCTGACCATAAATGTCGGTCATGTCGGTTAGAAATTCATCTACAGAGCAGTGAAGAAGGCACCACAAGAATTTGTTGGTGTTCGTTGATCACATCAACATGTGAATGAACCATCCTGATTTGGTAGGGGAGCAGAGTCCTCCAAGCCGAGAATCTTAGCGTGCTGTTATTCACTGCTGTTTCCGTCCACTCCTTGCATTTCTAGTTTGAGTGCCATTGTTTGTGTGGTGACACCAAAAAGGGAAACTGTGTACTCGGGAAGGGACTGGTCTTAGAAATAATGATATTCCTTAGCTCAGCGTAACTTGCGTGGTGACTTGGATTCTATAATCTTGAAGAAGATGATCATTGTGTAGTTTTCTAATTGATCAAAAGACAGGAAGATGATGAGGACAGAAGGCCGTGAGTTGTGCCTGTGTAATACACCAGCTTATCATTGAGATTTGGGTTCATTTTCACCACTTTTATTCATACCAATTTCTAAGCTCAGGGGAGCTTACGCTCATTTCCAAGAGACACCATCACTTCTGATGTGATCATGTCTAGAACCAAGAAACTGGTCTCATTAACATCCTCACAGGAGATCAGTGGTCTGACAATGTATCTTGGTATCGGTTGATTTGGGCACTGAACACATGTAGATCTGGATCAGAGAGCCATAGTGTAATTCACTCTTGGAGAGACCTCAGGTAACAGATGGAGAAACAATGTCACCAAAGGATACTCTTTATGATGACTTGCTTTTCATTCCTGAAAGCAAGCTTGAGCTTGATGGTAAGGCTCCTAATTTTATAAAACAAGGAATTTGCAATAGATCAGGTCGCTTCCAACCATGGTTGGGGAATTCAATTTAATGCAACTAGCATTAAAATACTGCAATAGGAAGGAATATAAAAATGTCAGAGTTCCTCAAATGTAAGAACAGTGTATATGCTCTTTCTTGAGATTTTTCACTCAGTCACATATATACCCATATGTATGTATTAAATCAATATTAACTTTCTTATGGTGGAAAAAGGTTGCGGGTCACCATGATAGGTGATTACTTTATTCTCTCTAGATCATTAGAGCCATGATGAAGGCAATTTCAGTTAGGGGAGGATGCTTTGTCCTTGGTTTATTTAGTACAATATGTTCCTTTCTACAGAAGAAGAGAAACAGCACTTAAAAATAACATTCTTTTCTTTTTCTGAAATAAATATACGCTTATTTTAGAAACTATAGAGAATACAGATAAGCGCAAAGAAAAATAAATTAAAATTTTATCTCGCTACCTGGAGATAACTATGTATAAGCGTGTTTTGATGTGCATCCTCTCACTTTTTTAGGATGTGTGTGTGTGTTAGATGGGATTATAGTACATATAATTTTGTAACCTGTGCTTTTCAAATAACCATGTATTATGAGCATATTAAGTATATGTTTCTAAAATGCCACTTAAAATAGTGGAATTGGCCGGGCGCGGTGGCTTACGCCTGTAGTCTCAGTACTTTGGGAGGCCAAGGCAGGCGGATCATCTGAGGTGAGGAGTTCGAGACCAGCCTGGCCAACATGGTGAAACCCCATCTCTACTAAAACTACAAAAATTAGCCGGGCCTGGTGGCAGGTGCCTGTAATCCCAGCTACTCAGGAGGCTGAGGCAGGAGAATTGCTTGAACCTGGGAGGCGGAGGTTGCAGTGAGCCGAGATCACGCCATTGCACTCCAGTCGGGGGGACAAGAGCAAGACTCTGTCTCAAAAATAAATAAATAAATAAAAATAAAATAAAAATAAAATGGTGGAATTGCACTCAGTTTAGGTACTTTTTAAAGGCAATCGACATGTGGAGAAGTGAAGTGTGGATTTAGAGGACATTGCCAGCCATCGTGGCACTCAGTGCTTGTGAATGGAAAATGCCAAGATGGGTCCAAAGACAGAGAGAAGCAGCAACACGAGTGCTCTTAGGGAGAGGGGGGTATTTTGAGAAAACTAAAATCTGAGCTACTATAACAGGAGTAAAAGAGATAATCCTTCCTATTCTCTCCGACTTTGATGTGGAGGAGTTCACAGATACCAAGAAGTGCCAAAAAATGTATTTTCTACTTTATTTACCACCCAGGCTGGAGTGCAATCACAGCTCATCGCAGCCTCACACTCCCAGGCTCAAACAATCCTCCCACCTCAGCCTCCTGAGTAGCTGGGACTATAGGCATGCACCACCATGCCTGGCTCATATTTTCTATTAATTTTTTTTTTGTAGAGATGGGGCCTCACTATGTTGCCCAGGCTGGTCTCAAACTTCTGGGCTCAAGCAATCTTCCTGCCTTGGCCTCCTGAAATGTTGGGATTACAGGCGTAAGCCACTGTGTCCAGTTAAGAAATTTATTTTTCATTCAGATGGACACAAAGTGAACTCCAAGGACATGAACACCTTATTTCAAATGGGGTAAAAATTGTACTGGATTTTAGAACTTTCTTAGGCTACCTGTCATAAGCACATGACCCATATGATTTTATAATTTTTCAAAGCTCTCTTTTTTTTTTTTTTTTTGAGACACAGTCTCACTCTATTACCCAAGCTGGAGTGCAGTGGTGTGATCTCAGTTCACTGCAACCTCTGTCTCCCGGGTTCAAGCGAGTCTCCTGCCTCAGCCCCCTGAGTACCTGGGAACACAGGTGTTCATCACCGTGCCCAGCTATTGTTTTTGTATTTTTAGTAGAGACAGGGTTTCATTCACCATGTTGGCCAGGCTGGTCTCAAACTCCCTACTTCAAATGATCCACCCTCCTCGGCCTCCCAAAGTGCTGGGATTATATGTGTGAGCCATCACGCTCGTCCCAAAGCTCTTCTCAAAAAATGATCTCATTTGGACTTCCTGAGAGCCCTGTATGGAGAAGTAGGGTAGTCCTTGTTATCTGTATTTTACAGACAACTATACTGAGACTGGGTGAGATGAGGTATTATTCTTCTGCCATCATCAAGATGCAGATAAAGTAATTGAATCTAGACTCCATGGCTTCTGGTTCCTGATGTGGGTTTCACTATGTGGCACCAACCATCAAGCCCATTTTCACCATCATCTGTGAATGCCATATGGCTCTGCCTTGGGATTTTTGGCTCTTCAAGGAAAACAATAAGACTTAGTTGAATGAGACCTCGACCTCTTATTTCTAGGATCTTCTAATCTGAGATAAAGAGTTGTTGTGATTATCCAGAGAATGACAATAAAGAATTCTTAGACAGTGTTTGAAATGGAGCTGAGGGTAAATAACACACGAGTGAAATTTCTTTATAAAACTGTGGTGTTTGTCTGCTTTGGGGTTGATGTTTCCTTATAACAACAATGCTGAATGCCTCATGCAATGCAATGCTCTCCTGATGGGAGGGATTAAGGCTGGACCCATCTGAAGAGTGCTGCTTTCCAAAGAACAGAGGGCGTTTCCACTGAGGTAGTTTCATAGTCCCATGAATAGACTCTTCTGCTCATTTAAGGACCTTCCTAACATATCTGTAGAAATGAACAGAATATTGAAACCCCACCAGAAGAGTAACCTCTGCCTTTCTCATGCTTTCAGTGTGCTGACTTGCTTTTTTTTGGGTTCTCAAATGATGCAATCTGATAGTGCAGCAGCTTCCTGTTTGAGGGTTAATTATTTCTTTTTATGTCTATATTTAAGATGCTTAAATTTGTGATTCATTCTTTATAATTTGATCTAATGCTTAGAATATGTCCACGTATATCACATTAACATTTTTCCTTTAAGAGTGATTATTTTCCCCTCTGAGCCATTGCCAATGGACGTAGATCATGAAAACAGGTTGATAAATGCAGCCATCTCAGCGCAACCTGAAATTTGCAGTTGCTGTGGCCATGAGTCAAGACAGAGCCAGCTGTGTCCACATGGGAAATCGCCATTCCCCCAAGGTTGGTTCACATCTATATCCCTGGGCGATGCACACCTTTTTAGTTGAACCAGGGCTCTGTTGTAGTCCAATGACTCTGTTTTGGGTAATGTTCCAGCCCCCACAAGCTCCACCTTTTTGGCTTCTTTGCCTCAAGAGTGAAACCAAGAAATGACTTACAGGGTGGGAGGGAGGAGATTAGAAAATACATTCTCCCCCATGTGAGGGAAGGGCGGGGAAGAGTTTGAAGTTCATTTGAGGTGACAAAAACCCATCTTCCCCCTTTCTCCTTCCTTGGCTCTGTTCAAATAAGCAGAAGCTTTACCAAATTCTCAGAACTGAGCCCATTTCTATTTCGTCAGTGCCTATTGTTCCGGAATCAGTGCATCCTTGCAACGGAGAAGGTGGCACTTTCTATTCCCCAGCAGCGAGACCATGATGAGAGAAGGAAGAGAGTGAGAAGAAAAGGAGAGAAGCAGGAACCAGGAGAAGAAAAAATGAGGAAGTAACCAGGAGTGGGGAGGAAGGAGGCGAAGAGGCTGAGAGAGGGACGGAGCCGCGTGCCTCGGAGGGAACACCTTGCCTTCTTGGCCTTGCCAGCAGCTTCATGGCTGTCCCTTTTGTGCCTGGGACTTCCTCTTCTCCAGACACTGAGTTGCTGTCTCACTGGTAACAATAAGTTAATTGAACAGCCTGTCAACAGATGGGCACACAGTGGCTCTCAGCTCTGGACTCTTTGTTAGTGAGACTTATTTGTAAGTGAGAAAGTCTGAAATAGCACCTGTCTCTTAAGAGAGCATGTGTGCTTGCACACACATGTGCATGGACACACACACGTGCATGCACACACTCATGCATGCAGATACACACAAGTGCACACACACACGCACACACACACCACCGCCACCTTTCTTTTTTTTTTTTTTTTTTTTTTTTAGGTGGAGTCTCACTCTGTCACCCAGGCTGGAGTGCAGTGGTGTGGTCTTGGCTCACTGCAACCTCTGCCTCCCGGATTCAAGTGATTCTCCTCCCTCAGCCTCCTGAGTAGGTGGGATTACAGGGGTGCACCACCACACCTGGCTAATGTTTTGTGTTTTTAGTAGAGATGGGAGTTTTGCCCTGTTGTCCAGGCTGGTCTTGAACTCCTGACCTTAGGTGATCCACCTGCCTCTGCCTCCCAAAGTGCTGGGATTACAGGTGAGAGCCACTGTGCCCGGCCTCTGCACCACCTTACGCCAGGCCCCTTCTCTGTCCCCTGTGTGAGCCCAGGCTTTCCACAATTCAGCCTTTCCAATGCTTTCAGAAGTCATGGTGTATTTCTAAGTAAGGAGTATTTCCATCTGAGCTGTTAGGGATAAAGACTCTGAGTCATTTCCATCTGAGTCATTAGGGATAAAGACTCAGAATTTGTGCCACCGAAAATGTGGTTATAAAGGAGGAATGGATGTACTCTACTGCAATGCTGAAATGAATTAATTATGTCCTGAGGCTCAAATCTATCTCTTTTCATCTATTTTTTTTTTTTTTTGTATTTCACCCTCTGTACAGAGCTGAAGTGTAAACCTGTCTCTCCTTGGACACATATTGCACCCTTACCACTTCTTTCCATTTGCATCACATAGCACTTCCCAGGCAAGTTCCACTATTTTGCAGGTGGACAGAGGTTGAGAGCTTTCAGCTACAAGTGGCAGAGACCACTATGCTCGGTATTCATCTCTTTCTTTGTCCTGATGCCCTGTCACAAAGCTGGGCCTGGGTGCATTACCTGTTTGACTGATTTGACTGAATGGATGGGTCAACTGCTCTGTGGTTTAGTAAATATAAGCCAAAGCAACTGTCCTGGAGAAAACATGACCATCAAATAGATTAAAATGGAATGAACTCTTCTGTGTCCTATAGACTCCTTCTCCCTCCCCTTATCCTAACACAAAGACTGGGGCTGGATGGCCCAGTACACCCCACCCTCCACACACCTGTGGAGCTTGTTTCACCTGGGCAAGGTTTGGGGTCTCCACCATTGCCTCGCCCAGGCAAATAACGAGTGGGAGATGTACCAGGAATTGCTGGCCCCCTTGCCCCTGTGTGGTCACCTTAGGAAGGCTGAATTGATGATCAGGGAGGTCTGGAGGTTATATGTGAAGAGCTCAAGGCAAGGTCATCTCACCTTAACAGTTAGTAGGAGGCCATTCACGTACACGATGTAGTTGCTAAGGGACTTGTAACCACTCCCATATTCCTCCTTCAGTCAAAAGTCACCTCCCTCTTACCCAGAAAAGTCTCAAGGCAGTGAAAATAGAGTTGAATTAGTGGCTCAGTAAACTCTGATGCACAGGAGACTCATCTGGGAAGCTTGTTAAAGGATGTAGGTTGGGCCTGGTGGATGATGCCTGTAATCTCAGCACTTTGGGAAGCCAAAGCAGGAGGATTGCTTGGGTCCATGAGTTTGAGACCAACCTGGGCAACATAGGAAGACTCCTCTCTACAAAGGGGTGGAGGGGGAAAGGAAAGAAAAATGAGCCAGGCATGGTGGCGTGTGCCTATAGTCCCAGCTACTTGGGAGGCTGAATTGGGAGGATCGCTTGAGCCTAGGAGGTTGAGGCTGCAGTGAGCTATGATTGTACCACTGCACTCCAGCCTGGGTAACAGAGCAAGATCCCATCTCAAAAAAAAAAGTAGCTTTAGGATCCGCCTCACCCTGATGTGTTTTGAGCCAGCAGGTCTTGGGTTCGGCTGAAGAATCTGCATTTTGAGTAAGGGCTCTTGGACATTCTGACGCACGTGGACACAAGACCTCATTTTGAGAACCACTGGAAAGAAGTTTTTTGGCTCCTGGAGCCTGCATTTCCCAAATGCTTCCCTCAGAAAATCAGCAAGACCCCATACAATGAGCCCCAAGGAAGCACTGTACATCGTATTAGGTCCCGATGAGAGAGAGGCAGAGAAATGTGAACTCTGCTCTTTGCCCCCTGGGAAGGAGCCCCTTTAAAGTGTCTGTGCAACCCTCACAGGAGAGCGGAGGACAATGACTGGGTTGAAGGAAGCTCCTAAATCAAGGAGGGCAATGGTGCGAGGGAAGGAGCATGCTTCATTGATCCCATGCCATTGAGATCTGGAGTTGAATCCAGTGCCGACTAAGCCCTGACTTCTTGATACCACTCACACAGTGGAATAATGAGATGGCGGTTTGACTCATCAGCTGTCTAGAAAGCCTTATCACATCCTAAAGTAGAAACACCACTTAGTAAGGTGGGCTTCAAACAAAGGGGATCTTCTGGCCTCAGGACACTCCTGGGGAAATGTGGGGTGAGAGAGCAGGGCATGGGACCCAGGGCCCTCGGCATCAGTACAGGAATTCAGGGAAGGTGAAAGCCTCGTCCTATGGGAACTGGTGTGGCCTGGGTTTTTCTTCCAATTGCTTCGGAAGGAAATGCTGGAGCCTCAGGGAAAAGGTCACCCAGGCAGTAGGTCAGTGCTCCCACCTGAGGGAAGACAGGAGCTGGGGTGGGGACAGGGAAAGAGTTTTCAGTGGCATTGGAGTCTTTGCTTCTTGAGGCCAAGTTCTCCCCTGGAAGCCAGGGATGGGTGGAAAAGCAGTCACCGTTGGCAAGGAAGTGTGGGAGGCCTGGGTGTGTCCCAGGAGGACAGGACACTGGGAGAGATTGTCCTTGGAGGGGCGTGGCTGAGGCCACTGCTGCTCTTCAGGCTGATGCATGGTGGAGGAAGGCCCCTGGAGGAGAAGAAACAAGGCCAAGGCCAGTGAAAGGCAGGCAGGAGCCAAGACCTGTCCTACCTACTTCAGGAAGCTTCCTGGGGGGGAGGAGACTGGGTGCAAGAAGGGGAGACTGGGTACAAAAGCTTGAGCTCATTTCTGTTTCTTGCAACTTAAAAACAAGCTGTGTTTCTACCCACAGTGGAGTCTGGTGTTCCCGTCCCAGGTCTGTGCCCATGAGAAGGGACAGAGAGACTGAGGGAGAGTGGCCTCCGCTGGTGGGGTCCCGGGGCAGGGCGGGGCTGACAGCTGCTTCTGGGTCACAAGTGATCCCAGGCCAGGTGAGAAACGAATGCAGGTGGCTTCTGGGACTTGTGAGCAATGTGGCTGGGGAGGTGCCCCGTCTCTCTTTGGGGCTCTGGGGTCTTTGTAGAGCAGTGACTGGCATTTTCCTCATCTCACCCAAAGCTGCCTCCAGAGTGATAGAAAGAGTCCTAGCGAGTGTCCAGGTATAGGTTCCCTCTCCTTGTACCTGGACAAGGTGAGGACCATCTTTGGAGCAAGAAGCACATTCTTAAAGAACCAGCCACAAACTAGGTCAGTTTCAGGGATGGAGTGTTGCAATGCTTCCAGTGAGAGGCACATGGGTGTTGCCACTTGGGAGAGGCGAACGGGTTCTGGAAAAATGCCCCCCACCCCACCCCCATCCCCACCCCCACTCTGCTTAACTTTCTTGTTTCATATTAGAGCTAAGCAATGGTTCTATTTTTTTATGTAGTTTTTTTTTTTTTTTTTTTTTAATGAGTGAGACGGTTTTTCCCCTTGCACCTCTTTTGATTTGGTTCTCAGGAGTAGTTTGGAGTTTAGCAACAATGGCCTCTAAGCTCTGTGGATTCTGATGCCTGTGAGGCTCCTCAAATGGTGATTTAGAGTCAAGGGAAGACGCAGTGTTGGGGCTGGAAAGGGCCTCACAGATCACCCTTGACTGATGGCAGAGCTGAGACACTGAGGTTTGCCCACCGTCTGGGAACAAAGTTGCTGCCTCTATACTAAGCCGCTTCAGAGAAATGACTATAGACATCTTTCTGAAAACCCTTCAGAGAAGCAGATCCATCATTTTCTGTGACAGGGCGCTTCAGCGTTAACCATTTCTGAAGCTTAGGAAGTGGTTTTTATTTTATTTTATTTTTCGAAGAGTGTAGGGGCCTGGGGAAGAGGGTTGTTCCAACTTCTTGTTCCAATATAATTGTAGGAAGATTTGACATTGCCATCTTTTTGGTCAAGGAGCTGGGACCTGAGAAGTGTAGCAAGGCTATGTTTTTTCAGAACCTTCCCGTTTCTTTTGGATTTGAGTCTGGTGAGTTTCAGAGCTGGTTGTAAATCAAACTTATGAACAAAATGTATAAGCATCTCTAGCTTGTAGACGTGTACCAGGCAACCTATCATCTCTTCCTGATTTGAATGCCCATTACATTTTCCCTGTATCACTTTTGTAGTATTTTTTTTTTTTGAGATGGGGTCTCACTCTATCACCCCACCTGGAGTACAGTGGTACGATCACAGCTCACTTCAGTCTTGACCTGCTGGGCTCAAGCCATCCTCTCGCCTCACCCTCCTAAGTATCTGGGATTGCAGGTTCATGCCACCATGCTGGGCTAGTTTTTGTAGAGGTGGGATTTTGCCAGGCTGCCCAGGCTGGTATTGAACTCCTGGGCTCAATCGATCCTCCCACCTCAGCCTCCCAAAGTATGAGGATTAGAGGCATGAGGCACTGAGCCTGGATTTTGTGGTATTTCTAATACTTGTTCCCGTGCTACAGTCATTCATTTAATACATCATCGCTCCTGTACTGGATGTGAAGAGCTCTGAAGGCCTGAACTGTGTCCGGTCAATACCTTGCACTTGGTAGGTTCTTGAAACAAGATGTTGGGTCAATCACATTCCCCACTATGGCAGAGGCCATCGTTTGTAACCTGGCACCCACCAGCGATGGATGAACCTCATTTTGGAGGTCATGATTCTCTGTCATTGTTGTCTAGTTTCTTTTATATCTCTTTGCACAGAAAATGCAATTAAAAATACAAATGAATGGGTCACATTTTTAAAAGATTTTTTTTTTGGAGGGAATATTGAAAAAAAAACATGTTAATAGGTTGTCAGTGTTGAGGTATCAAGATTCCAGCCTAAGAGGACACAGGGATTGACTTACAGAAAACTTGCCCTTACTCCATGTCCCCTGAAGGGGTCCTGAATGTGTGGGGCTGGGGGATGTGGGGACAGGAAGCCTGTCTCAGGTTCAGAGGGTTAATGATACCATCCTCTCAGAGGCAAATTTCTGTGGGAGGTACTGCCCTGCATTTAGAGAACCTGCCCATGATAGGTTTGAAATCTATTTGGGCTCAGAGGGAAGTATGACCTGTCAACATCTCCTTTCTATCGTTGTTCATCTGATTTTTTTTTTTTTTATTGTAAGCCATGAAAAAAGGATGCTTCAATGTTTCCTTTCAGGAAGAAGAACTGGAATTTGATTGTAGGAAGTGAGCCCTTTGAGCTTGCTGGCAGCCTCTGACCATGAGCTGCATTAAAAAATGCTTCCCAGGTCTAGGTCTGCATTTTTTAATGACTAAGTGGCCTTTGTCTATTTCCTTCCAAGATGGTGCCCAAAGGCTTGGGGGCTTTGAGTTGGGGAGTCAGCATTCTGACAGACAGGTCCCAGTGAGCATGCACACTGTACTGGCCACCTGGAAGGGACTTGAAGAGGACAAAACGTTCAGATCAATTTCCAAAGCTGTAGATGCTTTTGGCTTCTGCGATCTGGGTTGGTGCTTAAGGCCTGTCACTGGCCACACCTGGCCTTTCTGAGCCCATGGCTGGCCCTTCAGTGGCATGGGCCCCAAGAGTGTATCTGTTTGCTCATTTGTTTGGGGAGAGGAGGTTTGGTATGAGGGGCAGTTGGTGGAAAATAAAGAGCAAGAAGACAATTTCCATTCTATTCCTAGTGGAACAATGAATTATTTGGGAGTGAATTGATGTGGGGGAAATACCAAATATTTTTAACTCTTAAAGCAAAAGGGATTACTGAAAGATCATTAAGTCTACCTTTATTTTGCTACACAGGAAGACATTATGAAGAAATGCCTCTTTGTGTCCGTTTGCATTTAGAAATTCCTTGAGGTTGCCTGGAGGTTATCATTGCAGCAAGTCACAGCTGCTATGAGCTTTTTCCAGGATGTGCGCCTTTCTGCTGAGGCCTCAGTTCTGTAGTTTTGAAAGTCCTCTGTTTGTAGACAGATGCTCCATTAGTTCTTAATGCTCCTGTTAAAACTCAGAAAAAACAAAGGGACCTAATTCTTTTTGTAACAAAACACGAGCTGTTCTGATTATGATTGCTTCTATTCCTGCAAAATCACGCTGATTCTTGATAAAATGCTGCAATCACACGGTATCGTTCATTCTGTTTCTTGAAGGGCGTGCAAACGTTTACGCATGAAAGCCCACTGTGCTCTGGCGGGCTGGGTAGATGGGGAAAAGATCAGAAACAGAAGTTGTTCTGGTTTGTTGGCTGAAATGGAAAAGTCTGTGAAGTTGGATTCTCACATGCAAGATTGTAGTCACTTTTCCTTCTCATCATGTGCCCTCATTATGCAAGAGAGCATTTTCTGTAGCAGTGTCAACAAAGGAGAAATACATCAGCAGATTATGCTGTTCTGAGATGTTTTCTCAATGCTTGAGCTGGATTTGCTCGTAAGCACCTCCAGTTCTCTCTCCTGCTACAGGAACTAGTAAATCCAACAAACATTTGTCCGGTTCCAGATTGCACACAGCCAGTGCTGTATAAGGGCACGGGGAGAGACAAAGTGGGTTAGATCTAGTCCAATCCCCCTGGGTGCCTCTTAGGAAGTAAGATTCTCACACGAGAAGACTAAAATGGTCACAGAAAGGACAGAGTCACTATATATACTGAGGACCCAGTGGATGACACAGACAGACTGCTGTCAGAATTCAGAGAAAGCAAAACTGCAACACCGTAGGACTGATTGTCCCAGAAGCCTTGGTTCTGGAGGAAAGAAGCCCACCCTTTAGCTGGAGGTGTAATATTTTCTTTCACTTCTTTCTCTTCTCTGAGTTCATAAACATATACGAGGATCTGGGTTGTAACTTGCCTTTAACTTGCAGTGTATGCTAGAAAATGGAAGTGCTTACCTTGACCTCTCTTGAGTAAATGCTGCCTTAGCTAGAAAATAGATGTTTTCTTAGCGATTGCTAGGGATATGTAAAAAATTGCCATGGAAAATCAGTGTTCTCAAGCATCAAAGTCAGCCAGGAGGGTTATAAACAGAGTATGGAGACTGCAGGCCTCTACTTCTGTCTCTGTCCCAGACTGGCAGTTTTATTTTAAGCAAATGGTCATCTTTGAACAACAAGAATGACAACGATGACAATAATGACGAAAGTCTAAATAAAAGAATATCTTGTCGATTGTTGTAAGGATGGGAAACAACTATGATCCTATTATCCTCAAAGAACTTCTAGGTTCTTTCCTGTTGGGTTCTCCAACTTTACCAGTCGTTTTTTTCCTGTCAATCATTTGTGTTTGTAAAAGGCAGAGGGCTTTGGAATGAGACAGTTAGGATTTGTAATTTGGCTCTGTCACTTAGTAACTGTGAACTTGGGTGAGTCACTCACCATCTGGGAGCCTCAGTTTCCCCATCCAGACATGATGGTAATATGTCTACTTCTTTTTTTTTTTGAAATGGAGTCTCACTCTGTCGCCCAGGCTGGAGTGCAGTGGTGCGATCTTGGCTCACTGCAAGCTCCGCCGCCCGGCCTGGTAATATGCCTACTTCTTCGGATTGCTGGAAGATTAACTGAGATTGATCCTTGTGAAATGCATAGCAGAGAACTGGCATGTGCTAAGGACTCAATAATAGCATCTCTTGTTATGCTTTAAGGATCTGTTTCATGGCTGTGACCAACTTCAGGGGATCCACACAGGTGGGCTGCTGTCCTGAAGAAAAGTGGGAGTGTGCTTCCCCCCCTCTGCAAGGTTGGGGCAGCCCTGGCCTGCAAGAGTGGCTCGAGGGGTGTCAGTCCCATCTGCTTTAGATGCCCTCCTTGTTGGTGTTTGGATATTGGTCACACTGATTTCATGCTGCACCTGGGGTGCTTGGTTTATCTGATCTACCAGATGATGTTTGGCTGCAGAAAGGACACAGCCAGAGCCAGGCACAGCAAAGAATCAGCGGTGATAAATCTGGACAATTGAAGGTGTTGGAATTGGGCAGTTGGGCCTCATCCCATGCCGTCCTACCTCCCTCTTCTTTGAGATGTTTGGCTTAGTACTCCCAAGGGAGAAATGGGGACTGAAGCCTTGCAACGAGGGGTGGAGATGAAATGCCTAAGTGCACACAGGCAATGCGGCTGGAACTTCTGTGCCCCTCCTGGCTCCATCACTTCCCAGTTAGGCCATCCTGAGCCTGTTATCTCACCTCTTTGTGCCCTGGTTTGCTCATCTCTAAAATGAGGAGAAGAATCATACCTACTTCATTAGGTTGCTATTGGATTAAAGGACTTAATATACACAAAGCAATAAGCAGTTTCCAGCATATAATAAATAAATGTTAACGCACTGATGCTCAATACATGTTAACTATTTTAATTCATCATCCAACTCACTTAGATTCGAGTGGAATTACAGTCAGTTCCCCGAGGAAGGTAGGTTGTTTTCTGTCCCCGTGGCCCTTGGTTATTACGAACTTTAATAAGGATACTATTCCCTCCCCTTGTACTAGATTTTCCTCTGTCATTACAGCTTCCTGCCACTGACATACCTTTGCTGTGATTAGTAGGTGTAGGAAAAATGTTGTGGTCTGGTCTATGTCGTGAAAATATTTGCGGGAGGCCCCTTTGATTAGCTTTGTTACTGCTTTTAATGCCCAGCACATGGGCAGTCACACGTGTTTGGAAAGAGGACATATCGCTTTTCAAGACAGATGATCAAAAACTAGCTTTCATTCAATTGTGGAGTCAAGGAATTCCAGCAAACGTTCCTAAGAACAGCCACCAGATATTTGCTGGTATTCTCCCTGTGACCGTCAACGTTCTTTATAATTTTTCCCTGCTCTATACATTCTACCCTGGGTCTCTCAATGATGCAGATATAAAATGACATCTGAATTTTAATATTTTTGATTTTATTTTTATCAAAGTTGCACATGTACATAGTTTAGAGAGTCAGATTATGAAGCTTATTATGAAAAATGGCAATCCCTTGCCCAAAACCCTCCTACACTTTCCTAATCTCCAGAGAATATCACTTTTTTTTTTTTTTTTATGAAGTCTCACTATGTTGTCCAGGCTGGTCTTGAACTCTGGGGCTCAAGGGAAACTCCTGCCTCAGCCTCCTGAGTAGCTGGGACTGCAGGCATGCTTTTCAACAATTTTAATTGTTCCTTTGGTATTAACCTCCGTTATCACTAAGTAACATGTTTTGAATGCTATTTCTTGAATTTCACCATTAGGCATTTTCTATTTTCTTTCCAATGCTGGAGATGAAACTTTCTTTCTCTTTCACCAAATCTGCCCCTCAGCTACCTCTGATTACCTCTCAACATTCACTCCCCTCTCCCCATTCTCCCACTACAGTTATGTAGTAAATGTGGTCATGCTGTTTTACGTGAGTGTTAATCACAACCAAGACTTTTAAAATACTATGATTACCCTGTTTTCTTACAAAATGTTTTCACTTTCTTGGAGTTAATAATTGTCTTATTTTTATTTAGTTTTTTAAAATAATGATCAGAGCCAGGTGCAGTGGCTCAAGCTTGTAATCCCAGCACTTTGGGAGGCTGGGGTGGGTGGATCACCTGAAGTCAGGAGTTCGAGACCAGCCTGGCCAACATGGCAAAACCCTGTCTCTACTAAAAATACAAAAATTAGCCAGGCATGGTGGCGCACCCCTTTAATCCCAGCTACTGAAGAGGCTGAGGCAGGAGAATTGCTTGAACCTGGGAGGGAGGCGGAGGTTGTAGTGAGCTGAGATAGTACCATTGCATTCCAACCTGGGTGACAGAGGGAAACTCTGTCTCAAAAAATAAATAAAATAAAATAAAGATAAATAAGCCCTGAAACATCTGCTTGTTTTAATCTCTGCTCCATGTGTTCACATTCATCTGGTGTGCAATAAATTTATGTTTTGGAAAGCTCTTTGCTTGTGATTGACAACCTGGTGATTGCTCTCTGGCCCTGAAATTTTCCTTCCCCTCATCCTAAAGATACTCTTTGGCCCTTTAGGGGGTTGGAGCCCTGTTTCCTGGTCGCTGTGTCTTCATGTCTTCCCCCTCCTTTCCTCACTTCACTTGCTGGAGAATCTCCTCTGGCTTTCTGTTTTCTCCCTTCAGTATTTTAGTATCTTGTCTTTGTCTCCAGTGATTAAAGCTTCACAAAGCTCTACCTTGCTGTGGGTCTCTTTTCATTCATTCTCTGGGGGCACTCAAGCTTTTATAATCTGGAAACCCACGTGCTTAAATTCTGGGAAAATTTCTTGAATAATGTATTTGATAATCTCACTCCACCTTTCTTTTTTCTTTGTGTTGGAATTCTAAAACAGATCTCTAATTTTTTTTTTCTGCCCAGGATGGAGTACAGTGGTGCAATTATAGCTCACTGCAGCCTCGGCCTCCTGGGCTCAAGGGAGGCTTGCACGACCCTTGGTGCTAACTGTAGCTACTATCTAAGCAATCTCTGCAAGTTGACTGGTCTTCAAGAGATGAACGTTCCATGCAGTAGAGGGGTGGAAATGGTCCCTCTTCTCTTAACCTTTTCCCCTAACCTATCAATTCAAGCTTCTGCAAATTCAACAAGCAGTTGGAGATGGTGGGAGATCCTAGACAATGTTTCTCTTTATAATACCCATATTGCCCAAATCTCTTAAACTTTCCAAAGATAGTACTTACTGAAAGCCGGTTTTCACCTTAAAATCTTAGATCTGGAAGTGTTTATAAAAATGGTTTAGTTCATGTTTCTAGATGAATATACAAAGGCCAAAGCTGTGAACTGGCTCACCCAAGGTCACACAGGCAATTTGAGGGACAAGACCTTGATTCTAGCCACAAATGGAAAAGAAGCAGTTTTATCTACTTTTAAGGACAGTTTGGCCAATCATCGACTGTTTGGAATCTTTATGAGTGCATAGGTCCTTCTGTTTCTTTCTGTGGCTAGGGAGGTGGAGAGCTGTTTATTTTTAGTTTAAAAAAGTGATGATGTAGGCCAGGCACAGTGGCTCATGCCTGTAATTCCAGCACTTTGGGAGGTCAAGGTGCCAAGGTGGGAGGATTGCTGGAGCTCAGGAGTTCGAGACCAGCCTGGGCAACATAGTGAGACTCTTTCTCTACTAAAAATAAAAAAAATTAGTGTGGTATGGTGACACATGCCTGTGGTCCCAGCTACTTGGGAGGTTGAAGCAAGAAGATCACTTGAGCCCAGGAGTTCGAGGCTGCAGTGAGCTATGATCTTGCCGCTGCACTTCAGCGTGGGTGACAGAGCAAGACCTTGTCTCAAAAAGGTGGAAATAAAAATAAGAAAAGCAAAGATGTGAATAGAATATAAAATTACACATAAAAGTTGCATCCAAGGCCAGGTGCAGTGGCTCACGCCTGTAATCTCAGCACTTGGGAGACTGAGATGGGATGATTGCTTGAGCCTGGGAGTTTGAGACCTGCCTAGGCAACAGAGCAAGGCCTCATTTCAATTTTTTTAAAAAATGAAAAAATAAAAAAAGAATTGAAATTTTGTAACAAAGAAAAAATACATAGAAAATAATGAGAAGTAAGTGAGAGAGAGAGAGAGGCTTTTCTAGCCAACTTTCAGCTTACATCCATATGATCAAGGCACATCTCCTTGGGAGCCAGGTTCAGAGGACAGCAGTTGTACTTAGTATCATGAGTAGCAGTCGCTCAAATGTGGAAACCATAAAGAAGATCCTTAGTTGGAAAACTCTGATTTTCAGATGAAAACCATTGCTGCCTTCATTCTGCTTCAGCTAGGTGCCTTAGCGTGCCCGCTGATGTTGAGGAGGGGACAAAAGCCCTCCCTGGCCACCTTCTGAGGCAGCAGAGGTGCCTGCAAGATGGTAGCTTTCCTCTTATGGTTTACGATCCTCCTTCTTCCTACCTGGGGCCAGCGAGCAGGCTAAAGAACGAAAATGAGCGGAATAGTCAGACGCACGTTGATCCGGGGTCTGAAGCAATCTGCAGCCTCAGAGCTATGGCAAAATGCAGAGCGTTTGACTGAAGTACTTCGTGCAGTTGGTTGGCCAAACAACCAATGTGGTTGGGAAAAGAAGCTAAATTTGATGGACTTGATCAATTCATAAAACTGGTTCGAGCATGTGGGGGCACAGCCCTCACCTCGCTGTTTCTCGCATCTCTAACTGCACTTATCAGCAGGGATGGCTTTGATTTGCATAATATAAGAAAAAAGCAGCTCAATAAAAATGCACTTGGTTCTGTGTCTTTACATGAGTGACTAACAAATCAGCACAAGGGAAGCTTTTGCAAATGAGAGATTAAATTTCCTTGTTTATGTTGGAAATCTCCCTCCGTCTCTGTCAGCAGATGTGCTATAACATTCTTTCCGTGCTGGGCAGTTTTCAGTCCGTTTGTTATTTTTATTTCTTTTGTTCTTGCTATTAGCCTTCAGAGTGACCGTCTCTCTGGGGTAGATAGAAACTCTTGTCTGGGCTTAGGGAAGCCTTCCTGGGGGGCGGAGGGTGGGGGTGGAATGGAGAGAGGATTGGCAGACAACCTACAGGATGTTCAGTGCCATTTGAATTTCAAATAAATACGTGGAGTTTATTTATTTTTTTAAGCATAAGTATGTCCCAAACATTGCATGGGATGTACTTATACTAAAAAAAGTACCCTTGTTTATCTGAAATTCAAATGGGACTGAGTGCCCTGTGTTTTTATTTGTTAAATTCAGGGAGACACAGAGCCCCTTTGGTGAGGGGAGGAAGGGCCTGTGGGGCTGAGACATTTCCAGGGCTGTAGGGTGGGAGCTGCTCTTCCCACTATCTTTTTCTTTCCCTAGACAGAAAGAAGACTAGGATTTTTTTTTAAATTAAATTATTTTTTAAAATTTTTTGTGGGAACAGGGTCTTGCTGTGGCTCAGGCTGCTCCCAAACTCTTGGCTTCAAGAGATCCTCTCACCTTGCCCTCCCAAAGTTTTAGGATTACAGGCATGAGCCACTGCACCTGGCCTTAGGCTAGGTTTTAACTCAAAGCTGGCACTTACTTGTTTTAGGGACCACGGTGAGGACAGTGAGTCATTGCCTTGGGCACAAACCCAGTAACAGAGATAAATAATATTTGAATGCAACGTAAGAGAAACTGTAAAATGAACGCTTCTGTCTTTATTTAAAAATTTCATAATTTGTTCGTCATTAATCTTTGGTGTGGTGGCATGCACCTGTAATCCTAGCTATTTGTGAGTCTGAGGCGGGAAGATTGCTTGAGTCCAGGAGTTCAAGGTTGTAGTGAGCTATGATTGTGCCACTGAACTCCGGACTGGGCAACAGAGTAAGATCCCGACTCAAAAAAAAAATGCTCCAATGTTATGTTAGTCGATTGTTGTATCGACATTTTTTAGCAATACAAATACTTGGAATCTTTAGTGTGATAGTTTTGTTTGTACTTGTGTTCCGTGATATTTAGAAATCCTAGATAGCTATGGTTTGTGCATTCAACTCATGGTTGGTGCATGCAAACCCAGTGTTTTAGACTTGCCACATGGAGTAAATGGAGCCAAATGTCAGTCAGTTATATCACCCATTTGGCTGAGAAAGACATGCGCTGTTTACATAATAATCTGTGTACACACATATGCACGTGTGCACGCGTGTGCGCACGCGCGCGCGTGCACACACACACACACACACTCTCTCTCTCTCTCTCTCTCTCGCTCTTTCCCTCCAATACATAAAGATTTAAAAGCAGACATTAGGCTACTCTGGGCACTTATCCTAAAAAAGTATAAGTACCACCCTATGGGGTACTTATGGGTGGTCCTGCTCTGCGAGAACTAAAAAGAAACTTTATTTTTATTAAAAAAACCCAACAAAAATAAATACAAAATAAAAGTAAAGATTAGAAGAGTAAAAATATGGGAGGGGAGCTTAAAAAAGTGGGCAAGGGATGTTTAAAAAATACAGAAGAAAGAAAGGTTGGGGTAGCATTGGCGTTAGTTAAATGAATGAATGATTGGAATGAATGAATGCGGGAAGGAGGGAGGAAACAAAGACACCCCTGGGCTCCATGAAGCACATTGCAAAGAATATGATGTGGGGGTAGATCCCAGTGGGGCAGGCAGTGATCACTCGATAGCCTCTCCTCTGTTGGGTGGTGGCTGAAGCTCTCCCATCCCCTAGCCCAGAGCTCCGGTAGTGATGGATAACTCGCATTCTAGTTACTGCCTTTATTTTTGCATCAATTAATATATCTGTGGTATTCTGAAGAAGAGTGATCAACTGCTCCATTTAGAAATTAGAGCTATCTCAAAAATAAATCCGATGTACAGTATTTTAGCAGGTTATGTGCACTGAATTTAGGAGTTTGTGAATGAACAAGAGTAGGAGTCTCTTAATGAACAGTTTCACCTACATGAATTTATCCTAAGAAAATCTTGAATTTGAGCAAAGAGTAACTGACATTGATGTTTTCTGTAGAGGTGTTTCCAACAGCAAAGACTGCACACTACCTAAACATTATGGATGAATTGTTAACTAAATTATGAAACAATTATATGGTGAAACTGTGTACAGTCATTAAATAGTCACGTTGTAAAACAATATTTAACAATGTGGGGAAATGTCCATTTTATAGATTGTTAGATAAAGAGATTACACAAGAATGAATGAAGTATGATCATTAAAAAAACATTATCATGTATCTAATCTATGCATATCATCTATCTAATTATATATAATCTTTATATATATCTAGTCTATATAGAATTATGTGAAAAGTGATATAAAGGAAAGAAAAACCTAGGTTCTACAACAAAATGTTGACAGCAGCAGTTTCATTCGATGGTGGGATTTTAGATGATTTCATTTTCCTTCTTCACAGTTTTCACTGTTTTTGTTTTTTGTAATGAACACATTACTTTCACAGTTATAGATTAATTAAAACCATTCACTTTTAAAGGAAAAAAATCCAGATTATAAAATAATTATGTGGAAAATGGTCTTATCACATGTGTGGCTATGTATGTCTGTCATGCCTAAAAAAATGGATCATAAATAAATGCAACAAAATATATACAGTTTCCATAGGTGATAAAATTGCAGGTGATGAATACTTTTTTTGTATATTACAATTTTTTTTTTTGCCAAAAGCATGTAATACTTTGGAAAGCAGAAAGAAAATATAATAAAAGGAATTGGCCAGGCGCAGTGACTCATGCTATAAACCCAGCACTTTGGGAGGCTGGGGTGGGTGGATCACCTGAAGTCAGGAGTTCGAGACCAGCCTGGCCAATATGGTGAAACCCTGTCTCTACTAAACATACAAAAATTAACCAGGCTTGGTGGCGGCCGCCTATAATCCCAGCTACTGGGATCCACCGTCCTGGACCTCCCAAAGTGCTGGGATTACAGGCGTGAGCCACTATGCCCTGCCTTAAGATGCAATTTCAAAGGAAAGTTACTTATAAGAGTTAATGCAAACTCTCAGAGTTATTCTTACACATGGATCACTGTAGACACTTCTGCTTACTGTCTTTCTGCCAGGTGTTTCTCCATCTCATAGATAGTGGTGAGATAAATTTTCTGAAGCACACAGATACAATCATGCCACATCCCTGTTCAAAAACCATAAATTCCTGTTATGATCCCTCAGAATAAACTCCAGCCTTTTTCTGCCCATCGTGAAGTTCCTTCACTGTCTTGTGGCAATCTGTTTTCCTGTCTATCCTTCCAGACTCCACAATATTCATGGATTCATCAGCCCATATTTAATGAATTCTTATTACATGTAGGACACCATGCGAGGTGCTGACATACGTAGTTTGTTCTCGTCGAACTAGACAATTCAGCTTTCTCATCTGTGATTTGTGGTTAGTCATCTCTGTGTTTTCTCTTAGGCTGTTTTCTTTTTATGAATGTTCTTTCTTCCACTTGTGCTTTTCAAATTCCACCCTTTCTG
Organism: Homo sapiens; assembly: GCF_000001405.40. Taxonomy (NCBI): domain Eukaryota; kingdom Metazoa; phylum Chordata; class Mammalia; order Primates; family Hominidae; genus Homo; species Homo sapiens. The sequence continues at coordinate 8,154,192 of NC_000010.11, forward strand.
CGAGTCCCAGTCCAGGTGACACCTACTAGTTCCAGGTGGTAATGGCTTTATTTTTATGAAGAATTCCTTCTTTGTACATTTCCTTTTTTTTTTTGAGACAGAGTCTCGCTCTGTCTCCCAGGCTGGAGTGCAGAGGCACGATCCCGGCTCACTGCAAGCTCCGCCTCCTGGGTTCAGGCCATTCTGCCTCAGCCTCCCGAGTAGCTGGAACTACAGGCGCCCGCCACCTCGCCCGGCTAATTTTTTGTATTTTTAGTAGAGACAGGGTTTCACCGTGTTAGCCAGGATGGTCTCGATCTCCTGACCTCGTGATCTGCCCACCTCGGCCTCCCAAAGTGCTGGGATTACAGGCGTGAGCCACCGCGCCTGGCCCCTTCTTTGTACGTTTCGTACAGCTCTCCTCACACACTGTATTTTACTCCAGCAGGCAGAGATTTTGAGTCACACAGGGACCAACCTGCTTGGGCCAGGGCAGGGCTGGGGGAGGGTTGGGTGGAGATGGGGAGTTCCCCAGAGAGGAGCGAATATCAGAATCGTGGTGAGCAGGACCTGCGGTGGTTTAAAACAGATTATTAAAAATAACCATTACTAGGCCGGGCACGATGGCTCACGCCTGTAATCCCACCACTTTGGGAGGCTGAGGTGGGTGGATTGCCTGAGGTCAGGAGTTCAAGATCAGCCTGACTAACATGGTGAAACCCCGTCTCTACTAAAAATACAAAAATTAGCCGGGCGTGGTGGCAGGTGTCTGTAATCCCAGCTACTCGGGAGGCTGAGGCAGGAGAATTGCTTGAACCCTGGCGTGGAGGTTTCAATGAGCCGAGATTGTGCCACTGCTCTCCGACCTGGGTGGCAGAGCAAGACTCTGTCTCAAAAAAAAAAAAAAAAAAAAATTACCTCCTGTTTATTTTTTAGGTTAGTATGACATTTATTTGGACCCTTTAAATGACAGTATCAAAAGGGGCATGGATTAAAAATGGTGAGCCACACTGCTTGATGGGATTGTGTGAGTGCCTCTATAGCTGCTGATTGAATGAATGAATATAAAAGAGTACATGAAAATTACTTTTTCCACCCGTCGCGGTGGCTCACGCCTGTAATCCCACCACGTTGGGAGACCGAGGCCAGCGGATCACAAACTCAGGAGTTGGAGACCAGCCTGGCTAACATGGTGAAACCCTGTCTCTACTAAAAATACAAAAATTAGCCAGGCATGGCGGTGTGCACCTGTAATCCCAGCTACTTGGAAGGCTGAGGCAGGAGAATCGCTTGAACCTGGGAGGCAGAGGTTGCAGTGAGCCGAGATCACACCACTGCATTCCAGCCTGGGGTGACAGAGTGAGACTCTGTCTCAAAAACAAACAAAGAAATAAACAACAACAAAAACCCCACTTTTCCAGAGTTAACTTGAGGCCTCACTCTTGGTGTTGTACATTCTATGGGTTTTCACAAACACATAATGACATGCATGCATCCACCATTGTAGCATCATACAGAATGGTTTCATTGGCCTAAAAATCCTGTGTGCGTAGATTATTCATCCCTCCCTCTCCCCAAGTCCCTGGCAATCACTGATTTTTTTTTTGAGACAGGGTCTCACTCTGTTGCCCAGGCTGTAATGCAATGGTGTGATCATAGCTCACTGCAGTCTTGAACTCCTGGGCTCAAGCAATCCTCCTGCTTTAGCTTTTTTGATTTTCAGTAGAGACGGGGTCTTGCTATGTTGTGCAGGCTGTTCTTAAACTTCTGTATTCTAGCAGTCCTCCTGCCTCAGCCTCCCAAAGCGCTGGGATTACAGGCATGAGCCACTGTGACTGACCTACCACTGATCTTTTCACTGTCTCTATAGCTTTGTCTTTTCCAGAATGTCATATAATTGGAATCATATAATATGTAGCCTTTTAAAGACTGGCGTCCTTCACTAAGTAATATGCATTTAAGTTTCCTCCACGACTTTTGGGGTTTGATAGCTCGTATCTTTTTCAAGCCGAATAATATTCCTTTGTTTGGATGTACCACAGTATATTTATCCACTCACCTACTGCAGGACATCTTGGCTGCTTACAGATTTCGGCAATCATGAATAAAGCTGCTGTAAACATCCATCTGCAGATTTCTGGGTAGATGCCAGTTTTCAACTCCTTTGGACAAATACCGAGGAGCACAATTGCTGGGTCATATGGTAAGAGTAGGTTTAGTTGTGTAAGAGATCACCAAACTGTCTCCCAAAGGGGCTGCACCATTTTGCATTCCCACCAGCCATGGATGGAGAGATCCTGTTGCTCCACGTCCCCTCCTGCATTTCGTGTTGTCAGTGTTCTGGATTTTGGCCATCCTAGTAGGTGTAATAGGTGTGCAGTGGGAACTCACTGTTGTTTAATTTGCATATGCCTGATGATATTTGATGAGGAGTATCTTTTCATATGCTTATTTGACATCTGTAGCTCTTCTTCAGTGATGTGTCTATCCAGATTTTTTGCCCATTTAAAAACTGGACTTTTTGTTTTCTTATTGAAAAAGTATTTTTGACCACAGTTTGCCCATGTGTAATGGGAAAGGGAGTTCCAACCAATGCTCCAGCGATCTAAAGATGACACAGTCCAACACCAACTCAGGTAGAGGTGACACTATCCAATGCCAGCTCAGCAATCCAAAGGTGACACAGTCCAACACCAACTCAGAGTAGAGGTGACAATATCCAATGCCAGCTCAGCAATACAAAGGTGAGACTGTTCAACACCAACTCAGGGTAGAGGTGACACTGTCCAACAGTGAGCAAGGTAGAGGTGACACTGTCCAACACTGACTCAGGTAGAGGTGACACTATTTAACACAAACTCAGGTAGAGGTTACACTATACAATACTGACCCCAGTAGAGGTGACACGGTCCAACACCAACCCAGGTAGAGGTGACACTGTCCAACACTGACCCATGTAGAGGTGATACTGTCCAACACCAGTCCAGAGAGAGGTGATACTGTCCGGTGCTGAACTGGTAGAGGTGACACTGTCCATCATGTTACCGAGCCAGGTAGAAGTGACGCTGTCTGACACTGACTCTGTAGAGGTGATACTGTCTGTGACTGATTTGCTGAAAATGACAACTTCTTCCAAAGCAGCATTTTGAGAAGTTAATAATAATGATAATTTTTGATTTCCATCACAACTTGGCTCTTTTTTCACTCCCTGTCCTTGGTGTGACCGTGTAGCTGGGTGGAAACCCAAAGGCTGAATGCACCTTCCTCAGAGGTGGGTGTTGAATGATGCCCACATTGAATGACTGTGGTCCCAGACTCTCTCTCTCACTGCTCCATTTGCCTGGGCTCCCCTGTACCCTTCTGTCTACCTCACTGGGAAGTCCTTACAGACACTCTCTAACCAACACCAGAATAGGGACCTTCTTCTGAACTTTCCATCCTGTCCTTCTGCTGTCAAAGTGCCTCTCACAGGGTCTTGGTGACTACTATCCTTCCCGTGAGACCCAGGTTCAGTAGCCACCAAAAGCAGGTTAGATTCTGGGACTCTGTCTTGTTTACCTTTGTATCCTCAATGTCTAGTAGACATGAAATCAATCTAAATTAAATCTAAATTAAAAGAATATCTGCAACAGATATTTGTTGCACATCTGTGTGCTTGGAATTGTGCTGTTAGGTTTGGAAAGCTTCACAAAAAACTCCAAAGATTCCTACCCACTAGGATTTTACATTCTTACAGGAAATGATTATTTGAACAAATAAGTGTGAATTAAAATTGCAGAGGGAGAAGATGGATTCTTATGTTAATTTATTCACAATATTACCATGAATTTGCAAGAATGAAAATGTACCTACATCTCTATATCTTTTTGTGGCTTGAGAGCTCATTCCCTTTTAGCACAGATATATGTTATATATCTATCTAATATCTATATCTATCTATTTATCATCTCTCTCTCTCTCTCTCTCTGTCTATCTATCTTCTATATCTGTCTATCATGTCTGTCTGTTTAATTTTTTGTACTTTCCCACACCATGATCTCTGCCTCGAGGTGAACAGGTGGAAAGAAGCCAGAAGATGCCCTCTCAGCTCCTTTCCAGCTAGGATTTTATCAGCTGGACATGGCCACACGTGAGGCTTGGATTTAGATGTGAGTCTCAGAGGCTGGAGATGGGCACAGTTTCCGTTTTGCTGGGGAGGGTGGTAGAGACACTGAGCCTCTCTGGAAAGTGCTGTGGTGGACCCAGTGTTCTGGGACGGTACCTTCAGCAGTTTGCAGAGGGAGGACAATTTGAGGACTGCTCTTGGCTGGTTACCTTTTGAGCCTAATTCTCTGGCTCTCCAGGAACTTGTGTGAGCTTCCTAATAGTCTTTAATAAATTTTCTGCTTAGGCTAGTTAGAGTGTGCAACACAGAGCCCTGGTGAACGCTGACTGCTCTCCTGGGTGCACCCTCAGCCCCGTTCTTTCCTCCAGTTCCATGCTGTGTTTAGTCAGGAATGACTGGGCAGAGATGACCTCAGCCAGCCTTGATTCCTGCCAGGGCTGTCTCTCTAGTGGGAATTAGAGATCTCCCAGCCTTGGAAGGCAGCAGCTGCCATCAGAAGGGCAATTTATTGAGTTTGGGATGAAATCCAACTTTTTATATAGGTAATTATGCCAGAATTCAGGTCAACCTCTAGGCTGGGTTGACTCATATTCCGAGATATATAGGAAGTAAAACACTATTTGAGCTCCACTGTAGCATTTCCCGTGGAGCTTTAAAATGTCTTTTAATTATTTGTACATTTCCATTGAACTGCAAATGATTCTGCTCTTCTGAGTACCACGCTTTGTCTGCTTGAAAAATAAAGACACCAAAAGACTGCAGATGAAGGACTGTAGTTAAAGGATGGAATGTTGTCATGAACACTTTGAGAATGGTGACAGTTGGTATTTTCCCAAAGTAAACTCAAAGGTTCAAATTATTAAAAAGGCTGAGGTGGCCAAATTTGTCTACTGTACTACAAGATCTTCTAACAAGATCAAGACTAAATCCTGGCCAGGAAAACATTGACTTTAGTATTTGTGTTGGTTCTGGGTTTTCAGTGTTGAAATCTTCCTTGCCCTATTCCCTCTCTTTTCCCAATGCCTCTAGAACTATCTGAGATATGGGACTGGTGTGGTGAAAACAATTATTTTGTTAGCCTTTGTCAGAAACATGAGGGGAAGAAAATGTACATAAAATTAACATAAAGTCAGGCAGTGGCACCTGGGAGCCAAAATCCCCTCTGTCATCAAATTCCCCGTTTTTGTTGGTGACCTCGCTCATGGCGAACGAAGCTGCTGGAAACTTCTTGGTTTAGCTCTTCTACTCTGGTTTCTTTCACGGGCAATTAAACTTCCGGGTCTCACTTTCCTGAGAGCTCACCTCTGCTGCTCTTACTTGCATTCTTTCCAAATCTGACAGTCAGTCATCCCATCTCTGGCACACCCTCAGTTATATCTAGGAATCCCTAGGTTACTTTGAACACACGAACGCACACTTTATAACTTAGTAGCGGGGAGACAGGGGAAACATCACAGTCCATATTTTACCTTTTCCATGACACCATCTTCTACTCCCTTGTCTTTCTTTCCACAAATCCTTCTTCACCCATCAATCAAGGGCACTTCCTGTGTCATCCAGATGGCACTTCCTGTGCCATACAGAAGCTCTTGCCAGGGATAAGTTTTGGCTGAATTGTCAGCTTGTTGATTATAGCACAGCTTAATTATAGCTGTATGGCATTAGTCATAAAGGGCTCAAGGGCCAGAGAGTGGGCTTGTGTAACCTTTGAGGGTTCACTTTACAAGTAGGTTTTGAGGAGTAAACACAAAGTAGAGTAGGTTTTGAAGAGTAAATATCAGATACCTCAGCTTTAAGAAGAAGTACTTTAGACATGCTTCTGGCTCAGGATGAGGTCAGCTCTGTGGATGACTCAGAAACCTTTACCTTGTAAAGAGCCATGGTTGAGGCATAGATGTTTGATATAAAATATAAAACTTTGGTGTATTAGTTCATTCTCACATTGCTATAAAGAAATACCTGAGACTAGGTCATTTATAAAGAAAAAGGTTTTATTGGCTCCTGGCTCCACGGGCTGTACAGGAAGCATGGCAGCTTCTGCCTCAGGAAAATTCCAATCATGGCGGAAGGTGAAGGGGCAGCAGGCACTTCTCATGGCCAGAACAGCAAGAGAGAGAGGGACGAGGTGCCACACACTTCTAAACAACCAGATCTCGCGAGAATTCACTATTAGGAGAACAGCACCAGTGAGATGGTGCTAAACCATTCCTGACAAATCCCACCCCACGATCCAATTACCTCCCACCGGACCCCATCTCCAACACCTCCAACACTGGGGATCACACGTTGAGATGAAATTTGGGTGGGGACATAGATTCAAACCATAGCATTTGGTAACTTCTTCTGTGAGAACAGCCACTCTAACCTATACTCTTTATCCCTGGACATGTGCAACTTCAGACCAATCAAACCATAAGCACATCCAACCAATCAGAACCCCCGAAAGCCCTGATGCCCACCACCAGGTCACTTAGAAGGTTGTTTATGCAATCATCAGAGTGCAGTAAGCAGATTGTAGAGCACTGATGTGGCGCTCTGTCAACAACACATCTTAGTGCTTATCAGCACTTTCAAGCATGTCCGGCTTTCTTTTGCTGTGTTATTAGTAGTCCATCTTTTCCCCATCTTTGTTACTGTTCCATTGCCTGGATTTTTTCCTACCATCTAAACTTCAGGACAGTGTGTCTAAGCCAAAGGGGCTATCTACATGGTAAAAACGATTGATCACCAGTTAACCGTAATAAAAATATTGTGCCTACTTAAAAAAAAGTAAGTGGAATTTATTTAAGAATTTGAGCGCTGCAGTGTTTCCAGTTTCAAGATGGTCTCCTAAGCTGTTTAGTGAAACTTCTTCCACCTTTCTCCATCCCTCTAGGTGGTTATTTATTTATTTATTTATTTATTTATTTATTTATTTATTTTTTCTGAACCTGGATGTAACACATTAAAGGACCCGACGCAAATAGAATCGAAGGCATTCTAAAATGGCTAACCGTACACTGAAGGATGCGCACAGCGTCCGCGGCACCAACCCTCAATATCTGGTGGGGAAGATCATTCGAATGCGAATCTGTGAGTCCAAGCACTGGAAAGAGGAGTGCTTTGGACTTATGGCTGAACTTGTAGTCGATAACGCCATGGAGTTAATGTTTGTGGGTGGCGAATATGGTGGCAACATAAAACCAACACCCTTTCTGTGTTTAATCTTGAAGATGCTTCAGATTCAATCCGAGAAAGGTATCACTGCAGAGTTTATAGAAAATGAAGATTTCAAGTATGTCCACATGTTGGGGGCACTTTACATGAGGCTGATGGGCACTGCAATTGATTGCTACAAGTACTTGGAGCCTTTGTACAATGACTATCGAAAAATCAAGAGCCAGAACAGAAATGGGGGTTTGAACTGATGCATGTAGATGAGTTTATTGATGAACTGGTGCACAGTGTGAGAGTCTGTGATATCACTCTGCCCCGGCTACAGAAACGCTAGGTATTAGAGGAAACTGAGCAACTGGAGCCTTGAGTTAGTGCTCTGGAAGAGGACATAGATGATGTGGAGTCCAGTGAAGAGGAAGAAGAGGAGGATGAGAAGTTGGAAAGAGTGCCATCACCTGATCGCCTCCGGAGAAGCTACGGAGACTTGGACAAGCCCCGTCCATCTCCCACACTGTGCTACAGAAGGAGTAGGAGTCTGTCTCCCAGAAGGCGGAATCGATCTCCCAAAAGTAGAAGCCCCTTCTCCCGCCGAGAAAGGCATCCGAGCAAGGGTCCAAGACATCACCGCAGCAGATCCCGAGACCGGCGGCACAGATCCCGTTCCAAGTCCCCAGATCCTCACCGTAGTCACAGACACAGGAGCTACTCAAAATCTCCCAAAAGGTCTAAGAAGAGCCACAAGAAGAGCCGGAGAGGGAATGAGTAAGGGACTCAGTTTGGCTTTAGTCCAAATGGGCTCCTGTGGATACGAGGATATCTGTCTATGTGGAAGGATTAAGATCTTCCCAGGCAGCTATAAGAATATTTTAGTTTTTTCTTATCAAGTTTCTCAACCTTTATTTTCAATGAAGGAGGTGCTGAGTTTTATATCTCTTTTTAATCATAATCAACAACAGTTTCTGACCCAACTTACCTTGACTGTATTCAAACTTATGAGGGTAGAAAGGATCTGAAGGTTGGGGTTATGAATGACAAGGATTGGATGTGTCCACCTGATGACGTTTTCCCTTTTTATTAAACTGGACACACCTGTAAAAAAAAAAAATTTGAAAAGGGCAAAAACCTAATTAGGTCATGCACAAAGGGTAAAGACAGGCGACTTGAAGAATACAGTTTCTCTCCTGTAGGTTTTTGCCTGGAGCCTTGCCACCTCTTGATCTGCTTGTGTGGTGTTTTCTTTCCTCCTTAATCTCCAAAGGATGCAGCTTCATACTCTGGACAGGAAAGGGGCCAGCTGTAGGGTGAATGTCAGAGAAAGCCAGAAAGGAGAAGGGGAGTTCTTTCAAGTCAACACATGATGGGCGTACACACAATGGAAATGAAGCTCCCCACTGCCATTAAAAATATTATTTCTCACCGTGTTTAACCACCAAAGGGGTCTATGCAAAAGCTGATACTGATGCAGTTCTGAGTGGGTTCTGATTTTATTGACATGACTTCCATGATTTTCTAAATACTGTATCTTTCTTTTTCTTCCTGGATCCAGGGTTAGCCATCAGGATGCGACTGTGTGGGCGACCTTAATATTTCTCAAAGTGACAAGTGTTTCTTTCTTTCTTTCCTTTTTTTTTTTTTTTTTTTAAATACAAGGAGTCTCGCTCTGTTGCTAGGCTAGAGTGCAGTGGCGCAATGTCAGCTCACTGCAACCTCTGCCTCCCGGGTTCTGTCTCAGCTTCCCAAGTAGCTGGGACTACGGGTGCGTACCACCATGCCCAGCTAATTTTTGTACTTTTAGTAGAAATGGGGTTTCACCATGTTGGCCAGGATGGTCTTGATCTCTTGACCTCATGATCTGCCTGCCTCGGCCTCCCAAAGTGCTGGGATTACAGGCATAAGCCACCGCACCCAGCCTCTGTTTTTGACCCAGAAGCAGTGGGGTTGCTGGTGAGGAGAACACAAATGTAGATATTAAACAGTTGACACTTGCCTATTGGTTTTTCAATACTACCCACCTTTTCTTTTTTGAAAAATAATGGACTTATATGTTTTCTTGGGGATCTCTATCTCAATTTTACTCTTTACAGATTCACCAACAAGAGCTTATGAACACACTCAAGTGTGTCCTGTTTTCTCCTCCCATGTTATTAACAGTCCATCTCTTCCTCACCTCTGTTACTGTTTCATTGCCTTGATTTTTTTGGTCCAACTTAAACTCCAGGACAAGCCAAAGGGGTTATCCAAAGGTCTCAGTTTTACTACCTTTTTTGTTTCTTTGTTTTTTAAAGGATTATCCTTGCAGTCAACCAACAAACCAATTGCCTGAACCAATGAGAGGTAAGTGCCAAGTGGCACAAAAAGAGCAGAATATTCCAAAGGCTCCTGTGCACCTGCAAGTCTGGTGGCCAGATATGACAAGTTAGTGCTTCTTTGTTTGTTAGCCTTCCAGAGAGAGCTGTCCCCACAACAGTCATTGGAAGTGTACTTGAGAGGATTTTAAGTAAATACCACCATGAGGCCAATGTGTGCGAACTGTCAATTTGTATTTCTATGATGTGTGACTGTGCTGAAGCAGGCACCATGAATCATTCAGGATTACCCTTACGGAGAGCCTCTAATTCTGCCTGAAGGATTAGGGAAGCAGGGTTCAAATGCCATTCATCAGCCCTGTCTTTCAGGGAGCACTAGTAAAGTCATCCTGTGCCTGACCTACAGTTGAAGCACTCAATTTCTGAGTCTCAGAGAAAGGTCACCTAAAGGTAATGGAATATTTTTGTCAAGGTAGCAAAGTCCTGCTCCCTAAGCTGGCTTGGGAAAATACTCTCTGGGACCGAAGATGAGGAGGAGGGGAGACTCTTAGGGAGAAGAGAGACAATGGTTCATTGCTCTGGGTATTTCTGAAAAAGGTCTTCCTGAATCATAGGTATTAATGCTGCTTTTAAGGGTATTCCTACTGAAATGCAATGTTAAAATCTTCTCAAAGGAGAGTACATTCACTATCAAGTAGATGCTAAACAGACGAATAGGAGACGTTTTTTCAACAAGTAGTTTGCAATTCCCTTCCTTTTGTATCTTCTCGGTTCAGGCCTTTGGATAGTATCTGGATCTTTTTTGTGCTTGGCAACCTTAATTATTCTCTGTTAATCACTCTGGGTGTTTGACTGATTAGATTTATATTTAAATACTGAACCAACTTTTACAGAGCAGTGGACTTTATGGAATCATTAAGAATGAGACTAAGAAGTTCAATGTAAAGAATGTATATACCCAAAGGAATATGAATCATTCTATCATACAGACACAATCATACATATGTTCATTGCAGCATTATTCACAATAGCAAACTAAATGCCAATCAGTGATAGACTGGATAAAAAAATGTGGTACATATATACCATGGAATACTATGCAGCCATAAAAAAGAATGAGATTATGTCCTTTGCAGGAACATGGATGAAACTGGAGGCCATTATCCTTAGCAAACTAACACAGAAACAGAAAACCAAATACTGCATGTTCTCCCTTATAAGTGGGGGCTAAATGATGAGAACACATGGACGCATAGAGGGGAACAACACACACTGGGACCTGTTGGAGAGTAGAAGTTGGGAGGAAGGAGAGGATCAGGAAAAATAACTAATGGGTACTAGGCTTAATACCTGGGTGATAAAATAATCTGTACAACAACCCCCTGAGACACAAGTTTACCTAACAAACCTGTACTTGTACCCCTGAACTTAAACTAAAACTTAGAAAAAATGAATGAAATAGCCTAGGTTTGGGATTTTAATATTTGGTGTTGTCTTCAATGACTCGCCCCAAATATTTTGTAATTGTTGTGAAGACATTTTCATCATGGCTGATGGCTTTTGGCACAGTGGATCACTCCTGGACATGCTTTTACTCTTGGCCTCCTGCATGGTGTCCTACTCTGGCTCTTCTTCTACCCCACCTCCCTGGCTTCTTCATGTTGGGATGCCCTAAGGCTCTTCTCTTGGCCCCTTATGTTCTCTCTCTCTCTCTTTTTTTTTTTTTTTTGAGGCGGAGTCTTGCTTTGTCACCCAGGCTTGGGTGCAACAGCACGACCTCGGCTCACCGAAACCTCCACTTCCCAAGTTCAAGCGATTCTCATGCCTCAGCCTCCCGAGCAGCCGGGGTTACAGGCACCCATCACCATGCCTGGCTAATTTTTGTATTTTTAGTAGAGACAGAGTTTCACCATGTTGGCCAGGCTGGTCTCGAACTCCTGACCTCAAGTGATCTGCCCACCTCAGTCTCCCAAAGTGCTGGGATTACAAGTGTGAGCCACTGTGCCTGGCCCCTTATTTTCTCCATCCATACTTGTGCCTTAGTGATTCATCTTGCCTCATGCACTTAAGCATCATCTAGAAACTGGTGACTCCAAAATTTACAACTCCAGACTGGACCTCTCTTTTGAACTCTAAACTCATATTTTGACCTGCTTCCTCAAGATTCCCACTTGGGTTTTCAAATTTAACCTGTCTAAAACTGACATCCAAATGATCACCTCTCCAAACCTACTCCCACTACAACCTTCCTCATCTCAGCTCATGGAAATGCTACTATTTTCATTTCTTAGGCCAAAATTCATTTATACCCCTAGCACAGATCTGTCTCATGAACTCCAGACTCATATTTTCAGTTGCCAACTCGACTTCTCTACCTGACTGTCTCACGATCATCACAAACTTCTATCCAAGGCTAACTCCTCCAAACACAACCCAGCTGTAGCCCCACTCATGGCTCCTTGGTGGATGCTAATTCTACCTTTGCATAGGTCAAAAATCATGGAGTTATCCTTGACTTTTTTCTTTCTCCCGCATCCACATTTAAACTGTCAGCAGATCCTGTTGGCTTAGCCTTCAGAGCTTATCTATAACTTTATTGCTTCTCACTCCTCCTCCCTGTTTCTAACCACATCACCTTTCTCATGATAGTGCATATCACGTTTTTTTTTTTTGAGAGAGAATATTTCAGGACACATGGAAATTATGTAAAATTTATTTATTTAGTTTATTTATGGAGATAGGGTCTCGCTCTGTTGCCCAGGCTGGAGTGCAGTGGCATGATCTTGGCTCGCTGCAACCTCTGCCTCCCAGGCACAAATTATTCTCCTGAGTAGCTGGGACTACAGGTGTGTGCCACCACGCCTGGGTGATTTTTGTATTTTTTTGTAGAGATGGGGTTTCATCATGTCGCCCAGGCTGGTCTCAAACACCTGGGCTCAAGTGATCTGCCAGCCTCAGACTCCCAAAGCGTTGGGATTACAGGCATGAGCCACTGAGCCCAGCTGATATTTCAAAGATCTTTATTCTTAGTCTTTTCACTCTGTATGGTGTCTTCTGATGGACTGAAGTTCTTCATTGCAGTGTGGTTGAATTTAACAACCATATTTTTTATGGTTTGTTTTTATATGTCATGTTTTAAAAAGTATTTTCTACCTTGAGGTCATTAAGATATTTGCTTATTTTTCCTTTTACAAGTTGTATAGTTTTGCCTTATAAATTTAGGTATTTTAATCAACCTGGAATTGGCATTTGTGTATAGTGCATTTCTTAATTTCCAAATACCCAAGAGTTTTCTAGTTAACTTTTCATTTTTGACTTGTAGCTTAATTACATTGTGGTGAGATAATGAGAATCTCTATGATAATCTTTGAAACTTGCTGAAACTTGCTTTATAGCTCGGCATATGGTCAATCTGTGCACAAGCTTGCAAAGAACATGTATTCCACGGTAACTGGGTGAAGGGTCCTACATGTGTCTATTAGGTAAGACTTGTTTATTATGTTGTTCAAAACTTTCTTATTCTTTCTTATTTTTATGTGCTAGATATATCAGTTATTGAATGAGTTGTGTGAAAAATCTTTCACTATGATTCTAGATTGTTTTTTCTTACAATTTTGTCAGTTTCTGCATTATGTATTTTAAGACTGTGCTATGAGATACAAACAGATATGCAATTATTATATCTTCTTTGTGACTTTATTTTCTCATATTTATGAAGAGATCTTTCAAAAATTAAATAGCTGAGATTAATATATCTTATACCATATACTTTTCTTTTGGCCAATACTTAAATGCATATTCTTTTCCATCCCTTTATTTTTCACCTCTCTTTATCTTGTTTTAGATGTGCAGTTTGCAAAAAGCTTATGGTCAAATTTCATTTCATTTTATCTGCTTGAATTAGTCTGTTCTTATGCTGCTAATAAAGGCATATCAGAGACTGGGTAATTTATAAAGGAAAGAGGTTTAATTGACTCACAGTTCCACATGGCTGGGAGGCCTCACAATCATGGCAGAAGGCAAAAGGGAAGCAAGACATGTCTTACATGGCAGCAGGCAAGACAGCTTGTGCAGGTGAACTCCGATTTATAAACCCATCAGATCTCATAAGACTTATTAGGTGCCACAGGAACAGTATGGGGGAAATTGGCTCCATGATTCAATTATCTCCACCTGGCCCTGCCCTTGACATGTGGGGATTATTACAATTCAAGGTGAGATTTGAGTGGGGACACAGAGCCAAACCATATCACTGGTCTACCAATCTTTGTCTTTTAATGAGAAGCATTTAGTCTATGAATTATAAATGTAATTGCCCATGTATATGTGTTTAAATCTTTTATAGTACTTTTTATTTTCTGTTTGTCCCTTCTTTCTCTTATTTCTTGCCTTTTTTCTCATTCTGTTTTTTCCTTTACCTGGAATTTGTATATATTATTTCCATTTTGTCACTAGCCTAGAAATTAAAACATGCTTATTAGTTTAACAATGCCTAAGTTAAATGATACTTCATTTTCCTCTCAAAGACACTTAGAACACAGTAACTGCAATTATATTTCTCCTAATTTATCTGATATCATTGTTTTGTATTTTAATTCTATTTTTTAAACCTCTCAGGACATTTTAATTGCCTGATGCAGTCTTAGTTTCGATTTCCCACATTATAATATATTCCATCTTGAAGCTTAGAGATTCTCTCTTGCAGTCTGGAATTACTTTTCTTTTTCCTGAAGTACAACCTTTAGATTTTTTTTTGTAGGGTCTGTTGGTGGCAGACTCTGGTTTTGCATGTCTGAAAATGTCTTTGTTTTGTCCTCATTCTTGGACGATATTTTTGCTGGGTATAGAATTCTAAGTTAATAGTCTTTTCTTTTCCCCCAGCACATCAAGGATGTAATTTCAATGTCTTCTCTTGCTGCAGTTGAGAAGCTAGCCGTTAGTTTGTCACTCCCTTGAGGATTATCTGTCATTTCTTTTTGGCTACTTTAAAAATCTTTTTCTTGGATATTTTGCACATTCACTATGATGTCTAGCTGTGGATTTCATTTTATGTATCTTGCTTTAGATTCTCTTGTCTTCTTGAATTGGAGTGATGTCTATTATCAGTTCTGTAAAGTTCTTCTCAATTATCTCTTTTAAATATTGTGTCTTCTACATTACTTTTCTTTCTTCCTCTAGAACTCTGATTACACCCTAAAAATTGGGAGCATTATTAGTCTTCTGTCTTATCCCCATCTTTCTTATTCTCTCTTTCTTGTCTCTGTAACTTTCTCTCTCTTGCTTCAGTCTGAATAATTTCTTCAGAATCATCCTTCAGTTCATTAATTCTTTCTTCACCTGTGTCTAATCTGTTCTTATACCTGCTTTTGTTTTAATTTTAATTATTCTTATTTTTATTTTTAACAGGTTTATTTAATTATTCAAATCTGTGTAATAATTCTTTATACATTTTTAGGCCCTCCAAATATTTTCAATTTTGTCCTTTGTTAATTAGACATAGTAAACTTAATTATTTAATATTCTGCTTCTGATAATTCCAATATCTGAAAACTTCCACAATCTTTTTCTTCTGACTGCTGTGTCTTCTGTTTCTCCATCAAGTGTTTAGTGACTGTTTCCCTCTGAGCTGCTCATGGTCCATGGAATTTTATTTTTGGTAATTCTTTGATGTGGGGGGTGAAGCAGAGTCTCTTCAGAGAGTATTTATATATGCTTACTGTACTTCATTGATCTTGGGATTACTTTAAATACATTCTCAATATGAGGTATTTAAAAAAATTTTATTCCTCTCTCTCTCTGTCTCAATATTTAGATACAATAAATTCAAGCTACAAATCCACACTGGGGCTAGCCTGTCATGAGAACTCAGGGTCTGGCATTCCTGTTCTTCCTAGACCCTGCTCTGGGGCTGTAGATGAGAAAGTGCCCACCTTGGGCAGGTCCTGGCCTTCATCTCCTATACCCTTTACCCCATACGGATTTGCCAGCTCATTGATTCTTTTAAGGAGATGACATTTCTTTTCATGCAGAATTTTAGTTCTTTTCAGCAAGTGAGCCATTTTAGGAGATGAGCACACCATGTTTCCAGCGTGTACCCATTTCATTTTTAAATAGTGGCAATTATAGGACATAATACCTCTCCAAGAGCTTTTACTGTATTATTTCAAAAAATATTTATTAGCATATCTGTCCCACTCGATACATATATAACTTTATATATGTATATATAATATGTATATAAATAACTTTATATATGTATATACTATATGTGTGTGTGTGTGTGTGTGTGTGTGTGTAATTTTGCCCTGGATACAATGAGATGTGATTCTATAGATTTCAACACGTAGTGAGTATTGATGAAGAGTTCAGTTCTGAAAATATTTATTGATACTTAGTCCTCGTGAGTAAAGCACTGTACTTGTGACTGGGGTGTGCTGAAGACAGATGAATGGCATCATTCCTGCCCTTCAGAAGCTCCAAATCTAGTATTGGAGATAGGCATTAAAACTTTTAAAAAAATTTTACTTTTGCAGACAGGGTCTTACTCTCTTGCCCAGGCTGGAGTGCAGTGGTGTGACCACAGCTCACTGCAGCCTTGAACTCTTAGGCTCAAGCAATCCTCCTGCCTCCGCCTCCCAAGTAGCTGGGACTAGAGTCATGCACCACCACACCCAGTTAATTAAGAATTTTTTTTAGAGATTGGGTCTTGCTATATTGCCCAGACTGGTCTCAAACTCCTGGACTCAAGCAATCCTCCTGCCCCAGCCTCCCAAAGTGTCGAGATTACAGGCACAAGCCACTGTTCCCAGCCAATATTAACTTTTATACTGGAGAACCCAATGATAAATGCTGTAGTGGAGGATGTACAACAAAGAACGGTGAGATTATAGGTGTGGAACAGACTGGGTGGGGGCAGGAGAGAGGGCATTTATGAGAGAGGTCATAGCTGTTTGAGCAAAGACATGGAAATGGGAAGATGCAGGACATGCTGGGGAAATGCTGAGTGTCCTGGGTGGGTGAACCTGAGTGTGGGAGTGTATGCTCGTGGCCATGCGTGTGAGTGTGTGGGCAGCAACTGTGATGCTGAGGAGATGGTGATGGGCATCATGGTAAAAAGAAAGGCTAGAAAGGAGTATATTAGTCACAGTTCTTGGAGAAGCAGAACTTGGAGAATGTGTGTGTAAGTGTGAGTGTGTGTGTGTGAGTGTGAGTGTGTGTGAGTGTGAGTGTGAGAGTGTGTGTGTTGGCTCAAGTGATTGTGGATGTCTTGTGAGTCCAAAATCTGATGATGGAGGTCTGCAGGCTGGAGACTCATGAAAGAGCTGTCATTTGAGCATGAAGGCTGTCTGCTGGGAAACCAGGAAGACCTCCTGCTGCAGATGCAGTCTGAAGGTGTCTGTGGAGAAGCTCCTCTTGCTTGAGCAAGTTCAGCCGTTTTGTTCTATTCTGGTCTTCAACTGATCAGATGAGGCCCACCCACATTAGGGAGGGTGATCTGCTTTAATCAAAGTCCACTGATTTAACTATTAATCTCACTCCAAAACACCCTCCCAGAAGCACCCAGAATATTATTTGACTGAATATCCAGACACCATGGCCAGGCGAAGTGGACACACAAGATCAATTGTCACAGGTAGGTTCTAGCAAAACTGTAGAAGAGTTTGAATGCCATTATGAGGAGATGGGATCCTCTCTTCTATTCAACTGAAAGATGGAACTATTTTGAGTAGGATGATAACCCAGGTAAACGTACCAAGGGTGGGCAGGAGGGCAGAGAAAAATATTCCAAAGGTGAGACATTGTTCTTAGGAAAGGATGGAATGGATTCTGTCTACTATTAGTTTTGGGTCTGTGGATGAATTATTTCATTCCTAGAGTTTGTTTTCTCATCTGAAAAATGAGAACAAAAACAATCTGGGCGTGGTGGTGCACGCCTGTAGTCCCAGCTACTTGGGAGGCTGAGGCAGGAGGATTGCTTGAGCCTGGGAAGTCGAGGATGTAGTCAGCTATGATCATGCTACCATATTCCAGCCTGGGTGACAGAGTGAGACCCCATTTCCAAAACGAGCAACAAACAAATAAACAAACAAACAAAACAAAATGAAAAGAAAACTGGGATTTGCTTCATAGTGTTGTAAACACCTAGTTGAAGAATGTGGGCTCACTGCCTGCCTCTGCCTTCCTGCCCTGGTGAGCTAGCAGGCATGGGCTGAGAATGACTCTGTAGTAGCCAGGCTTCAAGGTGGCCCCCAGGGGCCCCTGCTGCCCATTGTATCAGGGCTGGTCTGCAAGACCAACAGTGTTTGGCGAAGTGATGTGCCATTTCTGAGATTAGGTTATAAAAGACTTGGGCTTCTACCTTGAGCATTCTCCACTCATTGCCTCTCCATCCCTCTTGGGTCCCTGGCTTCTGGGTAAGCTGGCTGCCACTCTAGGGAGAGGCCTTGGTGGGAAGACACTAAGGCCTCAAACCAACAGCCAGAGAGGAACTTAGAGCCAATGCCATGTGGGGGAGCTTGGGGGACGCTGTTGAACTGTCCCATGACTGCGTCCTGGTTGATTGATTCCAACTTCATGAGTGACCCAGCTCATCCACTCCTGGATTCTAGACCCACAGAGAACTTGTTCATTTTGAGAAAAATCTTTGCCGTTTCAAGCTGCTAAGTTTTGGTAATTCATTATGCATCAGTGGATTGCTAGTAGAATGCTACTGGCATTCAGCAAATACCTGCAATCTTGGAATATGCGAGATGCAAGGAGGGAGCAGGAACTTAGCACTCTATCCTTTTCCAGGTAGAGTTGGTGCATCGCGGGGCACAAGGGAAAAGGGACTTCAGATGGGGTGGAGTTTATGAGAAGAGAAATCTGGAAAGAAAAAGAGGAGAGTTAGGGCATGAATATTCTCTGATGACCTTGAGAACATGTGTGTGTGATGCCCAAGACAAGGCTGAGGAAATAAGGCTGTGCCCTTGACACAGTGCGAAGGAATGAAGTGGTGGGCTCACGTGCACAGTACCCCTGGGCAGCACCCCCACCATGACATACATGCACGCACACTCACACGCATGCACGCACACGCATGCACACACGTGCATGCACACACACATGCATGCACACACACATGCACACAGACACACATGCATACACTTTTTGTTTTTTGATGGAGTCTTGCTCTGCCACCTAGGCTGGAGTGCAGTGCTGTGATCTCAGCTGACTGCAACAGCCACCTCCCAGGTTCAAGCAATTCTCCTACCTCAGCCTCCCAAGTAGCTGGGATTGCAGGCATCCACCATGATGCCTGGCTAATTTTTTTGCAGTTTTATTAGAGACAAGGTTTAACCATGTTGGCCAGGCTGTTTCCGAACTCTGGAACTCAAGTGATCTGCCCGCCTCGGCCTCCCAAAGTGTTAGGATTACAGGTGTGAGCCACCACACCCGGCTACATGCACACACTTTGAATGACCATCCCAGGCTTCCACTTGCCTATACTGAACCTGTGTGTGAACTAGAGCAAGGTTCTCTTCTGGACAGTCAATTTAGAACAAGGAGCCACCCCTAGGCATCCTTGGGCCTACAGGCACATGGCTTGGCAAGGAGACTACACCTTTTTGTGGGGAAAAAGCGTCTCTTCTTCCACATGGACACATACCAGTGCCAAGGCTCAGGGCTTGGCAAACAAAACACAGGCTGAACCTCAGACTGCACTTTCCCCTGTGTCAGCCGCCTTGTGCAATGCATAAACCGGACAACTATACTACAACTTGCAGCCACCTGAATGTTTCTGTAAAAAGCTGCTAGACATTTATATGAATTTGGTTCAGGGAAGGGAGCAGGGCTAGAGGTTTTTAGCATCAGAATCAGTAAAGAGTAGTTCTGTTTTGCAGAGCAGTGGCTCATTATGGACTCTGGACAGTGAGGAGTGTCAATACCCTGATGATAATCTGTGTGGGACACCAGTGATGATTCTCATGTTTTCCTGTCCCCTGAGGATGGCATGGAAGACACACTGCAGGGCTGCAGGAGGCCTGCCATCCGGGTACATGTAAATAGCAGCCAAGTGTTCACCCCATGCTGCTCCCTTGAAGAAATCCAAGGTGCCTTCCAATTTTTAAAATCAAAATGCCAACTTTCTGTTCTTACCTTTCCTGCAGATTCCTCTGTTATATATAAAGCTTAGACAAAGAAGCTCTTAGTGTCTTTATGGTTTTGAACCAAACAAACAAACTCATAAATATAAGGGCCAAAGATCATTGTAGGATGCCACTGAGTTGCTCAAAGTTCAGGTTTATGGTTCATGGCTGGTCACATGACATTCAGTGGTGAGAGTGCAGGGAATGTCGTTCATTCATCCACCATGGACTAAGGCCAATCACGTGTCATGCCTAGTGGTAGAAATAGGTATATAAATAGATATTTCTAATACAAAATCCTCTTATCGAGAAGCTTTCTAATGTGTCTTGGCCACTAGAAAAACATGGTGGGTCTAGAGAAAGAAAAATAATTTTCTTCTTTCAAAGGTAACGCATTAACCTCTTTGTAATCATTTGGCAGCTAGTATCTAGGTTAAGGGCAACTGATTTACGTAAGATGAGCAATAAAGAAAATGCATTAAAAGGAATTTGTCCAGATTTCCACTTTGTAGTGAGTGGCAAGAAACCAAAGCAAAACACAACAAAACGAAAACCCCGCAAGTATAACTAGCAGAAAAAGCTTGGGATTCCAATGGTATTTTTAGTCTTTTGAATTAATCTACAGGTAAATGACTTGAACCAGTATGTCAAAAGTGACTGGGCATAGTGGAATACAGAAATGGGCGCTGAGGACAAAGACGGCTCAAGGTCTTACACAGATCAGGAGCACCAGCAAACTTTGAGTCACTTTGAGAATTTTGAAAGGAAATGTAAAGTAGTGGCCCTGAGGATAGGATTAAATGTAATAATCATGTTTTGTGGAAGGGTAAATGGCAAAAACACAGCGTGGGCAAGATAGGCTGATTTCATGTACAATGCACATTCGCTGAAGTAATATTTAGAAGCAGAAAAAATGGATACGTCTTGGGAAGGGGAATGTAATAAAACCCCACATCAACAGCAAATTATTTTGTCACGTGAAGCTGATGCAACATGAAAAATGGATGAGAAGTGCGGTACCTCCTGTTGCGATCGTGTAGAACATGTGGGCAGCTACAGAGCAGAGCTGTCTCCCATGAGAATTCATAGCATTAGGTTACAGCCCTG
Source organism: Homo sapiens (assembly GCF_000001405.40). Lineage (NCBI taxonomy): Eukaryota > Metazoa > Chordata > Mammalia > Primates > Hominidae > Homo > Homo sapiens. Next base: position 8,174,975 of record NC_000010.11, read on the forward strand.
GCTGGACCAATGCAGGGACAGCTCCTGCAAGCTGGACGCAGTGGAAGGTGAGGGGCGGGCCACGGGTGGGGGAAGTGGGAGTGCATGGGGAGGGGCCTCTGGCCAGGAGCTCTCTGGGACTGCCTGGTGGAGAGTTTATACCTGGTTATACCAGGAAATGCTCTGTCTTGTGCTGATTCACTATTTGGACTTTAAAATCTGGTAATTACAAGGGCAACAACTTCACATTCATTTTGGTCACTTTTATACATTTCGGTAAATTCAGTATTTGGGGGGCTATTACCCAGGACAAAGAAATCGGGTTAACAGAATGCAGGAGATGCTTTTGAGCACGTGCTCCTGATTGTACAGATTCTCCCGTTTGGCCAGGCACGGTGGCTCGCACTTGTAATCCCAGCATTTTGGGAGGCTGGAGCAAGAGGATTGCTTGCTTCCAGGAGTTTGAGACCAGCTTGGGCAACATAGTGAGACCCTGTCTCTACAAAAAATAAAAAATTAGCCAGATGTGGTATGCATGCCTGTGGTCCTGGTTACTCAGGAGGCTGAGGTGGGAGGATGGCTTGAGCCCAGGAGGTGGAGGCTGCAGTGAGCTGTGATTGTGCCACTGCACTGAGACTGGGTGACAGGGAGATCATGTCTTGAAAAATCAAAAAGAAGATTCTCCTAGTAGATCTAGGTCTGGGGTAGTCTACATTTAATGCTACAATTTCTGTTCCTTCTTTTTCTTTTTATTTGTTTTTTGAGTCAGAGTCTCACTCTATCACCCAGGCTGGAGCACAGGGGCATGATCTCAGTTCATTGCAACCTCTGCCTCCCAGGTTCAAGCAATTCTTCTGCCTTAGCCTCCCAAGTAGCTGGGACTACAGGCATGCATTTCCATACCCAGGTAATTTTTTGGTATTTTTTAGTAAAGACAGGGTTTCACCAGGTTGCCCAAGCTGGTCTCAAACTCCTGACCTCAAGTGATCCGCCCACCTCAGCCTGCCAAAGTGCTGGGATTACAGGCCTGAGCCACCACACCCAGCCTTTTCCTTTTTTTTTTTTTTTTTAAGCATACACACACACACACACAAACACATAATGCATAATAACTATGTAAAATAAACTTAAACTCAAAATGTCTACTTTTGTAATCAAATTTTGTCATGCTGTTAGTCATGATTTAATGTAATCTTACCTTCAGACTGGACAAAAACAACTCTTTCTTTCTCAGCTCTAAATTCTTATTCTGGAAATGGACCCCAAATCTGAGATGGTAGCAAACCCAGTGCCCAAAGCCCCATTGGGATTTGTCTTCTCTTTCTAGTCATTCATCAGCCTTGGTCTCACATAGACTGTCCTTTGCTTTGGCTGTTCTATCCAGTTAAGAGACAAGCCTTAGTCGACTTTACTGTTAAGTATCTTCACCTAGGATAAAAATCTACCTTCTTTTGATCTTTTGGAGTCTTCTCTGAAGATGCATGTCAAGTGACAGGGCTCCTTTATATAGCAAGTGCTATATAAAGCCTATTTTATGAAAACATAAAACTATATTAAATATACAATAAAAAGTTTCCATGGCATGAACACACATCATGTGATCTCTTTTCATGTGCACTTATTCTTTTTCCCTTCTAAACTCTTGCACTCTGTGTCATAGGTGCATATCATTATGAATATAATATGTATAATTAAAAAAAGTATTTTAGCCCTATATCTTCAAATATATAATAAACCTGCTTGGATATAGACCAAATATGATAGTGCCCAGAGCAGCACTGACAAGATACGTTTTTGATTAATTAATTGGTTGATATTTTCCACTGGCATTTGGTTGATGCATTTAGGCAAAGAGAAAATCCATATTTGATTTACAGAGCCTAAATACATGTTGTGAATTTAGAGCAATCACATACATAAAAGTTACAGTTATCTGCCATTCATGGGAAATAACTGTATAAAAGACTCAAATTTGGCCAGGTGCGGTGGCTCACACCTGTAATCCAAGCACTTTGGGAGGCCAAGTGGGGAGGATTGCTTGAGCCCAGGAGTTTAAGACCAGCCTGGGCAATATATTGAGACCCTGTCTCTACAAAAAGTAAAAATAATTTAGCCAGGTATGGTTGTGTGAGCCTGCAGTCCCAATTACTTTGGAGGCTGAAGTGGGAGGCTCCCTTAAGCCAAAGAATTTGAGGCTGTAGTGAGCTATGATTGTGCCACTGTACTCCAGCCTGGGCAACAGAGCAAGACCCTATCTCTAATAACAACAACAAAGACTCAAATTTGCTATTTTGTTTTATATTATCAAAATTGTTTAAAATTGGAGTAGGTAGTAGAACATCTTTTCCAGGAGGTGTTTGGATAGTGTCTTAAATTATTTACTGTTCTGTTGGAAGGCTGTACTATCAACTGATTCTTTTTTTTTTTTTGAGATGGAGTCTTGCTCTTGTCATCCAGGCTGGAGTGCAGTGGCGCTATCTTGGCTCACTGCAACCTCTGCCTCCCAGATTTAAACGATTTTCCTGCCTCAGCCACCTGAGTAGCTGTGATTACAGGTGCCTGGCAACATACTTGGCTAATTTTTGTACTTTTAGTAGAGACGGGGTTGCACCATGTTGGCCATGCTGGTCTTGAACTCCTGACCTCTGGTGATCCACCTGCCTCGGCCTCCCAAAATGCTGGGATTACAGGCATGAGCCACCGCCCCCAGCCCAACTGATTCATTTTACAAAGATTTCTCTCTATCTCATGCCCTTACCTCATCTTCATTTAATGAGTTAAACCAAGGCTTTTTTTCCCCCCAGGCTGGAGTGCAGTGGTGCAATCATGACTCACTGCAGCCTTGACCTCCTGGACTCAAGTGATCCTTCCACCTCAGCCTCCTGAGTAGCTAGGACTACAGATGTGCACCATGATGCCCAGCTAGTTTGTCTTCATTTTGAGAGACAGAGTGTCACTATGTTACCCAGGCTGGTCTCGAACTCCTGGGCTCAAGCAATCCACCCACCTTGCTTTCCTGAAGTGCTGGGATTATAGGTGTAAACCACTGTGCCTGGCTAATAAAGGCTAATGACAGCTAAGAACAGAGCCACACAGAAAATGGGCAAGAGCATGGTTTACCCAGCCTTTGAATCAAATTCATACAATAATATACCAACATGAAGAAAAAATGATGGACAGAACTTGAGACCTGGAAAGACTAAGAATCCATAGATTAAGGTCCCCTTGAGTCATTTACATTAAATATATATATATATATATATATTATTACACAGAACATGCCTAAGATTTTGATTAATTCAAACTTAACCTAAGCCTAAAGAGCATAATCTGTCTTGGGATTTTACACCTAAGTGGTGGATCACTTTTGTGTTGAACTCACAAAACACATCATTATCATTCAACACATCATTATCATTTGAATAAAAGGGTGACATTTTTATTCAGGGGTGAACATATATGAAGACATGGAAAAGACCTACTGAGTAATTTGAAACTATCTAATTAATTTTTGATTTACTAGATAATCCATCATTTTTGGCTGGTATACTGCAAGGGGAATTTTCTACTAAAAACGTGTGTATATTTCTTTGATTCTCACTTGCTTCCTATAATCTTAAGTAGTTATCTAATGTAGACAGAACAAACTGAGGATTCTACATAAGACTATAGATAACTTGGGTGAAATGATGTACCTTGTTACAAATTATGTAATACAAATTTTGTATTATGTACAGTGTACATAAATGAAAAATTTTACCCAAGGACAGAATATATTGAATCCCAGCATATCCGATTACACCATGTAAATTAACAGTTAAAAGTGCAATTCCTTATGCCTTAACATTCCATTTCATCTTTTGACCGGCATTTTTCTGGAGCCTATGATACCATTAATTAAAAAAAGCCACTCTGGCCGGTTGCAGTAGTTCATGCCTGCAATCCCAGCACTTTGGGAGGCTGAAGCAGGTGGATCATGAGGTCAGGAGATTGAGACCATCCTGTCCAACATGGTGAAACCCCGTTTCTACTAAAAATACAAAGATTAGCTGGGCATGGTGGTGTGTGCCTGTAATCCCAGCTACTTGGGAGGCTGAGGTGGGAGAATCACTTGAATTGGGGAGTCGGAGGTTGCAGTGAGCTGAGATCATGCCACTGCACCCCAGAGTCTAGCCACAGAGCGAGCAACTCCTTCTCAGGTGGCTTCCCTCTAAGTTACGTCTTTGTGGATACTCTAGGTTTATGTCATTGCTTGAAGCTGTCCTCATGCTGATTCTTCTGCTGGGGGGAGGGGAGTGCTTCATTTTAGACTGTAACTGGCAGTTGGTAGGTGCCGTGCTGTCATCCGATAGTCTTAATGAATGTTACAGACACAGTCCTAGTGTTGATTTAATGGAGGTCCCTCTTTTCACAGATGGTAACACAGACACAGAGAAGCAAAGCCACTTGCTCAGCGTTCCACAGCTCGTTGGTGTCCAAGTCAAGCTTAGAATTAGGGTGTTGGTGTTCTGGCCATACTATATTTCTGCAATTTTTCCCCTTCAGCGTCACAATTCTGGCCTAATCTTGTTTCGTAATGTTGAAGCAATTCTTGTTTAAACCAAAAGGTATTCTGTTTATTACTTAAAGTGACATTTGGGTCCCCAGCCTTTAAAAAAATTTATTTTAAGTTCTGGGGTACATGTGTAGGATGTGCAGGTTTGTTACACAGGTAAACCTGTGCCATGGTGGTTTGCTGCACCTATCAACCCATCACCTAGGTATTAAGCCTGGCGTGCATTAGCTATTTTTCCTAATGCTCTCCCTCCCACCAACCCAGCCCCAGACAGGCCCCAATGTGTGTTTTTCCCCTCCCTGTGTCCATGTGTTCTCGTTGTTCAGTTCCCACTTATAAGTGAGAACATGTGGTGTTTGGTATTCTGTTCTTGTGTTAGTTTGCTGAGGATAATGGCTTCCAGCTTCATCCATGTCCCTACAAAGGATATGATCTTATTCCTTTTTATGGCTGCATAGTATTCCATGATGTATATGTACCACACTTTCTTTATCCAGTCTATTGTTGATGAGCATTTGGATTGATTCCATGTCTTTGCTATTGTGAATATATGCATAAAGATACTTATGCAAGCATGTATCTTTGTAATAGAATGATTTATATTCCTTTGGGCATATATCCAGTAATGGGATTGCTGGGTCAAAAGGTATTTCTGGTTCTAGATCTTTGAGGAATCTCCACATTGTCTTCCACAATGGTTGAACTAATTTACATTCCCACCAACAGTGTAAAAGTGAAGCGATTATTAATGCCATTATATCTGAAAATTTTGTGCATGTACATAACAAAAATAAGCACTCTTCTTAAATAAAAAGGTCACTTTTTACACAGAATCAGAACAGTTGGGACAGCAAGGCCTTCAATGATTCTCTTTTGTAGACCTTCCATAGGTAAATGACACTCTCCTCATTTTACTTGCTTTGAATTGTTCAGCTGAAATCTTGACCTACAAACATATTATATGTCAAGTGGCTAGAAAAACAGCAGGGGGGAAATCAGCTTTATTGCATTTCCTGTTAGGAGAATATCCTTAAATTATATCGAATTCTTGCCTTGTAAAGCACCATATGGCTCTTTTGCTTTCGTGGTGGCTGCTTTACCACACAGCCTCTTTGGAAAGTAATTAAATTGAACAGACACTGCCCTTGATTTAAAGTCAGAGGGAGAAGCAGTTAATTGAATAGAAATGACAGTTCTTTTTTTTTTTTAAAGGCTAGGCCAAGCTTACAGAAAACAAAAATATCAAAAGGGAATTGCCCTAAACAGTCAAGATGAATGATTTGCTTGGTGAATACGATTTATTCTCTTTCACTCGAACGCTTTCTCTCCAGGCAGGCAACAGTGGGACTTTGCGATTCCTCGTCACCTTGGTACAGAGGCTCTCTAACCTTTTCTCACTGGATTTTTCTGGTCCGTTTTCAGGTTGGAGGGTGAGGGTGACAGAAGCTGGGAAATGAAAGATGGGATTGTTTTCTTGTCATCCTGTATCCCTGCCACCTGGCGATGGTGTTTCTGGTGAGTGGAGATACATAATGGCTATCTCAATGCAACATGCTCCTTATTTCCTGGGGGTCAGGCACCAGGAGGACCAGGAGGGCAGAAGATCTGCTGAAATGTGACCCTATGTGGAATAGGGATGAGAGTCCCTGAGCTTGTAGAGGGGTCTGAGGAAATGACTTCAAGGGAAAGTTCACAGAACTCTGAAATCAATAGCTAAAAGTAAAAATGCTCATTTTCAAGAACAAAGTATCATTTAAATGCTCCCAGGGGGTGAATGAAGAGAAGGAGCTAATCCTTGTCAAGTGATGGATATAAAATAAAAACCCAAAGTGGAAAAAAAATCAAATTTCAATGCTAAAATCTACCGCCACATACAGAGAGAGCTGTAAGCTCCTAGGACATTTGTATTGAATTCTTCATAGCTTTTGCTTTTAAATGATATCCTTTTCATCTTTAGCTAAATCCTTAACCTTATGCACATCGCAGGAGAGTTACCTGGAACTTGATGGATCTGTACAGAGGAGAAGACTGAGTTGGGGCATCGGCAAAGACAGTGTTTCTCCATGCTCCCGTTATTCTTCCAGAGCTGTCAGGAGTGGAAATCATTTCACCTTTGCACTTAGAATAAAGCAACTCGGCATTAACAGTAAATTGGCTTCGGCATACTCTTAGGTAAGCAAGTGCTTCTGCCGGCCGAGTCCAGTTTTCTAGTCTGCAGGTCAGGGAGCAGGTTTGCGTAATCGTGGGGAAGGTGAATGTAGAGGAGGCGGGAGAGGCAGTCAGGAGAGATTCAGGTAAGTCTTGGCTTGGCTACGAATGAACTGTCTTTTAGGGGATGCCAACTTCCCTCTTGAAGCAACAGTTCCCTTATTGCTATAAAGTGAAGGCATCAGGGCTGATGATCTCTAAGCTCCTTTTAGCCCTGACATGGCTGTGTGCCAGGCCTCTTCACACCTACCCACTGTGTGTAAATGGCGGAGTCACACACAAGCTCACACCACCAGGCACTGGCTGACTGAAGGGGGTGATCTGAGATGGGCCTAGATTTAAGCTGGGATCACAGGCTTCCAATGTAGGTGAATTATTTTTAAGCAGCTCCTATATTTTAGGGACAAGTGCACAAAATGAGAGAATTCTTCCCTGCAAAAGGGAATTGATCTGCAATTTCAAAGCATAAAAAAAGTGATATTTTTGTTCAGGAAGGGTTGATAACTTTTCCGTACAAAACATTTGCAAGTTACAGTCTTTCTAAATTCCTTAATCATAAAATAAAGATATTGGCCTGGGGATTTAAGCACTATCTCCCAATGTGCATTTTGCAGTGAAATTTCAAGAACTAATAACAAATGTCTGGGGGTGGGGGTGGGGGAAGGACCCTGCTTATAAACTAGGCTATGTGGGCATCATTACTACTGGACTTCCGAAAAATTTTAATATGCTAATAGTACATTTCAAACTTTTAAGGTGGGAATATAGTATTTACTTAACTCATTTAATTATAATTCCTTTAATTATAGTTAATCTTTCCCCCACAAACTCATGATTATTATTTTTTTGGGGGCAGGTTAAAGGCAAAGTTTTATTAAATAGAATGCAAAGACATCAATCATAAAAGAAAATAACATCTTACTAAAATCAAAAATTTTTTGCCAAAAGACGTCTTTGAGAAAACGAAAAGATAAGCTACTGGCTGGGAAAACATATTTTATATAAATAGCATATTTTACTTTGTTGCTATCTTTACCTATCCCTCTACTTTCTTTTTCTCTTTTCAAGTTTTATTTTGGGTTCAAGGGAATTCACTGTTATTATTACTATCTTAAGTTGCTGGTGTTCTGAGGACGATAGTTAGGGGAACATTGCCTCAGGGAGTCTATGTTTTTAATCTTCACTTATTCTCTTGAAGAGCTGTCCCCTTGGTGTCTCAGCAAGGGAGTTTCAACTTAGACATATTGAAGAACTTTCCATTGTGAAATTGTGTCACAGTTGAATGAGGAAGACTCTAGGATTTTTCCTTTCCCAGAATTTTTGTTCCATCGTCCACAAACCATGGTTTCAGTTCTCATTCAATCAACTTTCCTAAGGTTCTTGTTAAACACTCCGATTTGTGAATGAAAAAAAGTGACCTTTCAAACAAAGAGCTAACAATTAGAAAAAGTGTCATCAGCACTCATGTCAAACCAAGCATGGTTTTCTGCAACAATTGGGAGTAATATTTGGAGGGTTTTTTCTTTCCTTTTACTTCACATTATGGCCAAGAAGTCGGCATTAGCATTTTCATGCAATCTGCGGGTGGTGTTGCTTATCTCTGCTGTTATGTAACCCTCATTACTCATTAGGATGTGGTGTTCCTATCGTGTGGCCTCAAACATTTCTCAGACAACAGAATTGGATGTAATATTTGGTAGCAGAGTATTCAAGCTTACCAAAAACTTTTCACATTTGTGGATTTAAAAAAAAAAAGGTATACGCTACTTTCGCTGGGTTTTGTTAAAATGTTTCTTCTGTTTTGGCAGGTTTTGGTTTGAAGACAATCTAATTGTTTGAAAAATATAGGTTAGCATACCACCTAGGAAAGTCCCTCCCTGAAGCACAGTAGACAGAACAGGAAGTCACAAGTGGCTGGCAGAGATTGCTGCTCCTAGCTTCTCAGTGTTCTCCCAGCATGCACATCTCTTCTGATTGGTTTGAAATCCACAGTGGATAATGAGCAGGGAGAGGCAGCATTGATTTGTTCTCCTTGGGTTTCTAGATTACAGTAATTTTCACTGAGGCCATTGCTTGCCATTGTACATTTCTGGTAAGCTGAGTTTTGTATATTACCCTATGATTATGATTCTAGGCACTGGGGTGGTGGCCGTTATTTATTTTTGAATGAATGAATAAATGGATTGTACAAAGCTTGGTATCCTGAAAAAATGTGCACATGAACTCCAGCTCCATCAATAACTAGCTGCCTGCTCCCGGAGAGCAGAGATTTTCTTGGCTGTAGTTTCTCCTCTAGCTTAGATTACAGTCTTCTCCCGGTAAAGTTGACTCCATTTCTCATAGAATACAGCAGAGTCTCATAGCAGAGTTATGACTCAGTTTCTATACCATTCTTGTCCCTGGATTTGTCAGAATTCCCAGCAGACAAAGGAACAGAACTCGATCTGGCACCTTCTTTCTGTACCAGTCTTTACTCCGGACTCCAATCTTTCTCTCTTCGGCTACCATGTAACTCACCCCACCCTCTCCAGGCCATAAAAATATCCCAGAAAACAAAAATATTTCAAAAACATCTAAATGCTAAAAAGAACATGTCATTTACTATTAGCTTACTACGTTCCACATTTTCATGCTCTATTTTACTGAATCCACACAACAATTGTGTTGTAGTCGTGATTATTCCCATTAAATGACATAATGAGGCTAAAGGGGTTGTCCTGGACACAAAGCCACACAACTAGAAAGTATGGGAGCTAGGATCAGAACCCAAGGATCTACTTTGGGAGGCCGAGGTGTGTGGATTACCTGAGGTCAGGAGTTCGAGACCAGCCTGGCCAACATGGCGAAACCCCGTCTTTACTAAAAACACAAAAATTAGCCAGACATGGTGGTGCATGCCTGTAAGCTCAGCTACTCGGGAGGCTGAGGCAGGAGAATCACTTGAACCCGGGAGGCGGAGGTTGCAGTGAGCCGAAATCCTGCCTCTGTACTCTAGGCCTGGGTGACAGAGCAAGACTCTGTCTCAAAAAAAAAAAAAAAAAAATCCCAAGGCTTTTTGTCTTCAAAGCCTGTGCTGTCTCCTTACAAGAAAAGTGAGAGCCTTGGACCAGCCCCGAGGTTCCTTTTGGCTCTCTGATTCTCTGTGCCTATGTTGCCATTGTCTTCCCTACTCTGTATCTTACTCTGTGTATTTCACCACCTCTGATTTTTTTTAGCACCCCTAATTTTACAGCCCCAAAGCAATAGCAATCACGTGTCCTGATGCGGCAAATATTGAGAAGTTTATTTGTTAAGTCTGGGTTTGAGCCAGATGTCACCATGGTGTTTCTGCAGCCTCCTGCAAGCTGGGGGCTGTGTTTCATCTTTTCATATCTAGAATAACCCGTGAGGTCAGTTTTATTATTATTGCTACTGTGCAGGCAAAGAAAATGAGGCAAAGAGAGGCCACACAGCTACTAAATAACAAAGCCAGTCTTAAATCTAGGTCTTTTGTCTGGAAGTCAAGTGTTATTTTCATTCAATGCTGGCACAGAGCAGGCATTTAATAAATATCCATTGAATTAATAAATGAATGACAGGATCATGTCTTAATTTTTATTTATTTGTTTATTTATTTTTTCTGAGATCGAGTCTCTCTCTGTTGCCAAGGCTGGAGTTCAGTGGTGCCATCTCAGCTCACTTCAACCTCCATCTTGGGTTCAAGTGATTCTCCTGCCTCAGCTTTCTGAGTGAGTGGGACTACAAGTGTGCACCACCATGCCCTGCTAATTTTTCTATTTTTAGTAGAGACGGGGTTTCACCATGTTCGCCAGGCTGATCTTAAAGTCCCGACCTCAGGTGATCTGCCTGCCTTAGCCTCCCAAAGTGCTGGGATTACAGGCATGAAACACTGTGTTTGGCATGATGTCTTAATTTATTTTCTGTGCTCTTAAAACACAAAATGTAATTCCTATGCAAGGTGTAATCTCTTCATGCCTGTAATTTCAGCACTTTGGGAGGCTGAGATGGGAGAATTGCTTGAGGCCAGGAGTTCAAAACCAGCCTGGACAACATAGAGAGACCCCTATCTCTACCAAAATTAAAAAAAATTAGCTAGGCATGGTGCTGTGTGCCTGTAATCTCAGCTACTCGGGAGGCTGAGGTGGGAGGATCACTTCAATCCAGGAGGTCAAGGCTCCAGTGAGCTGTGATTGTGCCACTGCACTCCAGCCTAGGTGACAGAGTGAGACCCTGTCTCACAAAAAACAAACAAACAAACAAAAAAAAACAGAGAAAGAAGTATTTGTTTAATCACAATAATGATATGTCTCCTTTTATATGCTTCTCCCAATGTGGAACTTATTTCCCCATGATTATTTATTTGCTGAATTTTAAATAAGACGTCTCCTTAGTGATGGTTTTTCTTTTCCTACTGGTCTTTACCAATATGAAAACATTGCTTTCTCTTCCTTCTTCAGGGCCTCTATGGAATGATGAGAGAGCTGCCTAATTCTTCTTTGCCTCAGCATTCTTCCCCAGAAAAGAGAAAATAAGAGTAGCTTTCATGTGAGATAATGTGTATAAACTGTAAAGCAAGCACAAATGTTTATTATTATTTTTTATCCATTGTGCTTTCATAAGAAATGCCTTGAACAGCAGGGTATGCATTTGGAGCAGTTTTTTCCAGCAGAGGATGAAGGGGAAATTTTCTTGGTTCATCTCTCATTGTTGTCAGCATTATCATTACTATTATCAATGAACATTTATTGAGTACTTATCATCAGTGGGGCAGGGTATAAGATCTGCTGAGAAGCATAAGATATCCTCTTTGTAGCAGAGAGATTTATAATTTAATTAGGAAGACCACATATGCTAATGGATTAAATAACAATGTGGAGTATCCCAAGATAAATGCCAAGTGAATACTTTGTTTTATTTTGTTTTGTCTTTTGAGACAGGGTCTGTTGCCCAGGCTGGAGTGCAGTGGCACAATCACGACTCACTTACGGCCTCAACCTCCTAGGCTCAAGTGATCCTCCCATTTCAGCCTTTGAAGTAGCTGGAACTACAGTGCACCACCATGCTTGGCTAATTTATTTTATTTTATTTTTTGTAGAGACACAGTCTTGCTTTGTGACCCCATCTGTTGTCAGATTCCTGGCTTCAAGTGATCCTTCCTCCTCGGCCTCTCAAATTGCTGGGATTACAGGCATGAGCCACTGTGCCTGGCCACCAAGTGAATACTATGGCTACTAAAACCTACAAGAAGTCAGAGGGGAGACCACATTGAAGACAGTATAATGAGATGCTTGAGCTGACCTTGAAGGATGATTGAGTAGCATTTGGTAGTCAGTGACCCAGTGGTGCGTCTGTTGGCCAACGATTAGGGAACAGTTAGCTATGGAAAAGAGATGCACTGCAAGGTCCAGGCCTTAGTCACACTGTACTCTGGCCATCTGAACTAGCCAGTGATAGACCTTATCACTGTGGGTTTTCAATCCATCTGCTTTTCTTTTTTTGGATCCAGGAGACATTGACAGTATAAGGCCTAAGGAAAATTTGTTAAGTAGTTGTTTGTCATAATATTTATTGTACTCACTGAGATTAGGCTAGATACTTGAGATATGTGCATCTTTGTATCAACAAAGGCTGAAGGAGAAAATTAGTTTGGGGTTTTGTAATCTTGAAAATGACAGCCAGTAAAATAAGATTCACATATCTCCAGAATTGTTTATATCTGACTTTTATTTCACAATGTGTTCCACGCCCTGTATCTCAACCTACTGGCTCTTCCTCGCAATGAACAACTCACTCATTTTACACTTCTGGCCAGTAGTTCTGCTGGCAGCTCTTCTCCAGGTTGCAAGCTGACCATTTTGCACAGATTCTATGGAATGCAACCCTGACCTTGCGATTAATTAGCTTTGGGACTTGGTGCAAGTCACTTTCTGTTTGCAGGACTCAACCTCCCAGTTTAGATCGTGAAATAGCTGGGCTAGACCAATGTATTTCAAATCCCTTTTAGTAGCTAAACCATTTCCTCCTGCAGAATATTCTATGGAATCTCAATTTATAATAGTAGAGTTTTCTTTTTCCTTTTTTTTTTTTTAAATTGAGCAGTCCCTGAACCAGAATAGGTACAGAGAGGCTCCCTGTAACAGTAGAGTTTTCTGATGAAGACAGAGGTGAAACAGGGGTAAAGGAATGCAAAGTCCTGCCGATGGGCCTTTTCCTTAGTGGCTTTAATCACCAGAGCACTGTGGAAACCAGGTGGGGTACAGTTGAATTGAAGGACCTTAAAATCTGTTCCAGTGATAATATTTGGTTATTCGAACTCTGCTCATAGAAACAACATAATGGAATTACTTTACTTTATTATCCCGGCATGTCATTGAAATTGAATCCCATGAAAGTTTCATTTCTTTGGAAAAACTCCACGTCACAGAGACTATGGGACTTGATTTAATCTGGGAGATCACATCGTAAAACCCTTCCCTGAGGAAATATTTGAGCTGTTTTTTGATCTAATGTATTTTGTTTATTATCTGAAGGTTGCTGGTTGTTAGGAAAGGTCTTTAGGAGGGGGAACGGCATAGGTCAAGTCCTGAGGGGAATGGTGCACTTCACAATTAAGAACCTGGGGGAAGGTCAGAGGATGGAAGACAGAAGTTCAGGGTGAGAGTGGGAGGGAATTACATTGCAGGTGGATATAGAGGCTGAATCCTGCAAACCTAATGGGTCATGCTGAAGATTTAGGTCTTTAATCTCAGAGCAAGGGGCAGACACTGGAGGGCTTTTAAGGGAGGCATATGTGTTACAAGGTCAGGGTAGTGTTTTCTGTGTGGAGTGTGGATTGGAGTGGGGAGAGGGCTGAGCAAGAGTGTCGAAACCCCATCTCTATGGTGGGTGGATCACCTGAGGTCAGGAGTTTGAGACCAACCTGGCCAACATGGTGAAACCCCATCTCTACTAAAAATACAAAAGTTAGCTGGGGTGTGGTGGCGGGTATCTGTAATCCCAGCTACTTGGGAGGCTGAGACAGAAGACTCGCTTGAACCCAGGAGGCGGGGGTTGCAGTGAGCCGAGATCGTGCCACTGCACTCCAGCCTGGGCAACAAAGAGTGAAACTCCATCTCAAAAAACAAACAAACAAACAAATAAAAAAATACAAAAATTAGCTGGACGTGGTGGCGCACCTGCAATCCCAGCTACTTGGGAGGCTGAGGCATGAGACCACTTGAACCCAAGAGGCAGAGGTTGTAGTCAGCTGAGATGCCATCATACTCCAGCCTGGGAGAGAGAGCAAGATTCTGTCTCAAAAAAAAAAAAAAGGAGAGAGAGAGAAAGAGTGAGTGTGGAGAGAAGAGTTAGGGTCTAAGGGAGGGGCGGAAAGGGATGTGGGCACACCGGAAGATTTTCAGGAAGTGATATTGATGGGGCTTGGTGAATGACTTGAAATGCGTGGGAACGGAGAGAGGGAACAAAGGCCATTCCTAGGTTTCTGGCTTCTGCAGCTGGACAGATTGTCTTTCTATTTCCTGAAACAGAGAGGAAGACCACGTCCAGAGCGGAGAATCTGGCATTTTGGGGGAGGTTTCAGAAACAGGAAGGTTGAAGGGTGCAGTCATTGGATGGGTACTTTGATAGATGGATCTAGAATGCCGAGAAGAGTTCTGGGCTGGAGATGTAATTTGGGAAGTCGCTGATCTAATGATATTCATCTGGCAAACAGACCACGGGCATGGCAGAGATTGCCGAGGGAAAGAATACAGGATGAGAAGAGAGAGTCTTTTCAGAATCTCTACCATTTAATCACCTAGTCAAGCAGAATAAACTGGCAAGGCGGATGGGTCGGGTGGCTGCAGAGAGGACGATGGCTGGAGAGGGTGGGGTCACTGTGTGGAAGGCTTGAGCATTAAAGTAACTACCAGGGGATTTTGTAACGTGAGATCTACGTAGCTCTGGTGGCTGTTGAGAACCCCTGCAGTTGGAGAGTGGGAATGGAAGCTGGGCTGGGCGGGAAATGGAGGCGGAAGGTCTGGAAGAGGTAAAGGGAAAAGCGGCAGTCTCTGGAGGATGTGTGTAATTGAAGCTCAGTTCCTTTAAAATCTCCAAATCCATGTGATCTCTAGAGATGATGTAGAGGCTTGAACATGTTAATGCTAATGGAAGGATCTGGAAGAAGAGGAACAGTGGACTTGAAAAGAGAGAGACGAACTAATAAAGAATAGACGCTTCTCAAGAAGGCAGGAGAGAGTGGGATCCAAGCCACAAATGGAGAATGGGCTGACGGGCGTGCCTTTGACTCCCGGAGGTATTAGCAGAGTATCTTGCTGTGTACCTCATTAGAGCAGTCAGTTCAGTGGGCACTATATCTCAATTATTCAACCACGGCCGGGTGCAGTGGCCCACTCCTGTAATCACAGCACTTTGGGAGGGCTGCTTGAGCCTAGGAGTTCAAGACCAGCCAGGGCAACATGGAGAGACCCCATCTCTACAAAAAAAAAAAAAAAAAAAAAAGAAAGAAAAGAAAAGCCAGGTGTGATAGCATGTACCTGCAGTTCCAGCTACTCAGGAGGCTGAGGTGGAAGGATTGCTTGAGCCCAGGAGGTCAAGGCTACAATAAGCCCAGATCATGCCACTGCACTCCAGCCTAGGTGACAGAGTAAGATTCTGTCTGAAAGAAAGAAAGAAAGAAAGAAAGAAAGAAAGAAAGAAAGAAAGAAAGAAAGCCCAAACAAATCAAAATCTGTAATCTTCTTAGAGAGACATAACTTTGGGTATATACATTTTCTGTGTGTGTACTGTATAACTCATGTAATATTCCCCAGAGAACTAGCATTTGAAATACTAGTCAATTTATGTAAAACTCCAAGCATGTTACATAGCACATGGTAGATTCTCAACAAACATCTTTCCAAGGGAGGAGGATCGCTTGAGCCCAAGAGTTTTAGGTTAAAGTGAGCTATGATCGCACTACTGCACTCCAGCCTGGGTGACAGAGCCAGACATTATCTCTAAAAATAATTTTTAAAAAATCAATTATTTAACCACTGATTAAGCACCTACTGTATACCCAGTATGTGTTAGCAACGGGGGCTGCAAAAATGAATTACAGTGGAAGTACAACCAAGCTAGTGGGAGAGGTGACGCAGGGGTCGTGACACAGGGGTGTCGGAGTACCACTGTGTTGAATGGCCTTGTGTGTTCAGTGCTTAGCTTGGTGAGATCTGCTGAAACACAGGAGTTCTAGGCTCTTCTATGCAGTGACTCATCTCCTTACCTGAAACAAATTATTTAAATTTTGTGTGCCTCAGTTTCTTTGTTTACCAAGTTAGGATAATAATAGTGGCTTACCTTAGAGGAGCACATTGAGAAAAGTCTAATTGATAGGGTTTGGCTTTCTGTCCCCACCTAAATCTCATCTCAAATTGTAATTCCCTCGTGTTGACTGAGGGAGGTGATTGGATCATGGAGATAGTTTCCCCATGCTGTTCTCTTGATAGTGAGTGTGTTCTCACAAGATTGGATGGTTTTATACGACAGTTTTTCTCTGCTCTGGATCCTCTCTCTCTCCTGTTGCCATGGAAGACGTGACTGCTTCTCCTTCTGCCATGATTGTGAGGTTCCTGAGGCCTCCCCAGCCATGCAGAACTGTGAGCCAATTAAACCTCTTTCCTTTATAAATTACCCAGTCTTGGGTAGTATCTTTAAAGCAGTGTGAAAATGGACTAATACACTAATAAAACAACTGAACAGTAAATGGTAAAGGGTTTATTAGCAATTAGTGCTACATGAATGCTGAATTATGAACTGAGATTACATCTTTGTCAAAGGTAAAAGCCAGTTGGGCAATGTTCTAGAATTAAATCTCAGAACAACAGCTTACTTTCACAAGTTACCTAGGATAAAAACTTGTCCCCTTAATAATAGGAACATGTATTGAAAAAGTGCACAGTAAAAAGTCCAAAAGGAAACGTCATTTAAGCCTTTTAAATTGTTCTATGTGGATAAGGATTTTTTTTTCTTGAAGATATTGAGGAAAAGGAGGAGATTTCCTCATTCCCTCATTCACTCATTCACTCATTAATTCATCAAATATTATTTGTTGAACCTGACAGTG